>NT_187673.1:0-170701 GCF_000001405.40 Homo sapiens
ATCTACTCTCCCATGCTTGCCTCGGCAGCACATATACTAAAATTGGAACGATACAGAGAAAACTAGCATGGCCCCTGCGCAAGAATGACACGCAAATTCGTGAAGTGTTCCATATTTAAAAAAAAAAATCTACTTTCCTGGTAAATTTCAAGTATAGAGTACAGTATTGTCAACCATAGTGGCAAAGCTGTACAAGAGATCTTCAGACCCATTCCTCCTGAATACCTGATAGTTTGTATCCTTTGATCAACATCTCCCAATTCCCTCCCCCACACTGTCCCTGTAGTTCTAGTGAGTTTCCCAGACTCTGATGTCTCAATTTCATTCAGTCACTTTCCTCCAGATACATCTACCCATTCCTACTGCATCTTAGTATCCTGAGCCTTGGGGGCAGTTTCTGTGCCAAGTGGAAATGTGGAAATGAGATATTACGAAGAAAAATCTTTGCCCACCTAGACAGGGATCTGATGTTTTCCAAGATGACACATGATTACATGTTGAAATGATAATATTTTGAGTCTACTTGTATAATAAAATAATATTTTGGATCTATTAGGTTAATATTTTGGGTCTGTTGGGTTAATAATATTTTGGGTCCATTGGGTTAACTTAAATTAATTTTATCTGTTTCTTGTTAGCTTTTTAATTTGGATACTAGCAAGTTTGAAAGAATGCATGTGGTTTGCATTATGTTTCTATAGGACAGAACTTACCTGTAGATGTAAGGGAGTCACAACAAAATTACAAGCATTGTTTTTGGTGGAAATGAGAAAAATGATTACAAATTTACATGGAAAAGCAAATAGCCAATAATAATAATAATGGCAATCTTAAAGAGGAAGGAGAAATTAGAGGATTCAGGCTGCCAAATTTTAAGGGGTTCTATAAGGCCACATAAAGTGCAGCATCCTCATGAGAGTGGACACAGAGAGCCACTGAGCAGAAAAGAGTGTGTAAAATACATCTGTGTACACACAGTCCTTTTATAGTTGACAGAGGCTGCCATGCGGATTAAGGTGGAATAGAATGTCTTCTCAGTAAATAACATTGGACCAGAGGGTTACAAGCAGGAAAAAATAAATCTAAGCTTATTTTCACACCATAAAAACACTGCTAATTTTTTATCTTATTATCATACATTTTGATGATTTATTTATAAAATTGATGAATGAAAATTATATACAGTTGTCCTTCACTATTCATGGGTGATTGGTTCCAGGAAACCCCCCTCCCTACCAGACACCAAAATCTGCAGATGCTCAAGCCTGTTGCATGAAATGGCACAGCGTTTGCATATAACCCATGCACATCCTCCTGTATACATGAAATCATCTCTAGATTACTTATAATTCCTGATACAGCCTACACACCACCTCACTTGTGTCCACACAGTATAGTATTTTTGCTTTTTGGAACTTTGTGGATTTTTTCTCTGAATATTTTTGATTTATATTTGGTTCAATAAACACCTGTAAACCCCACAGATATGGAGGAGCGACTGTATATTTATAGTATGAAAGATGATGTGTTGACATGTGTCCCTGTGGAGATGAGACTAACAAGGCCTATGACTCTACAAATGTTTCATCTTGGAATGACTCTGCCAGCTTTCCAGGTCTGCAGAGAGTAAGAATATCACTTGTTCATGTGATTCACGATCCTTGGAACCTCCTATGTGCTGCATCTTTGGATGGAAATTGGAGTCCCAGAGACAAATGAGGCTCCACCCTGCTTCCAGAAGCTCAGAGTCCAGGGCTGAGAACCCAGTAGAGAACATATCAGGTTATATGGACATAGTAATGATAACACTGGAAACTTTTGGCGAATAAAGAGTCACATTATCGAAACCATGAGGGCAGACATGTTTATTTGAAGAGGAGAGAGCTACACTGAAGTTATAAAAAAAATTTATAAATTTTACTGATGACAGAAGGCTGAAAGATAGTCTGAGGGGAGGTGGAACAGCATGAGGGAAGGTGGAACAGCAAGTGTGTAAGTGCCGTGTTAAGAGGGAGCCTCTTGTATGTTTGGAATTGTGAGTTCCTCAGTGTGATTGCAGCCTCAAGTAGGACTAGGAAGTAAGCCAGTTAGGTTGGAGAGGTGGGCAGGGGTCAAGTGAAATAGATACTTGTGGGCTAAGCAAAGGAGTGTGTTTTCTCTGCAGCAGGCAGTGGCGACCTTAGGCATTTGTAAGCAAGAGAGAGGCATGTTCAGATTCGTGGTGTGAGGAAGAGCGATCCCCTAAGATGCAGACTGATGCCTTCAGATTCCAGCTGCTGGTTCATTGGATCTGGCAACCTGGTTTTGAGACAGGGCTGTTGTCTCCCTAGAAAACCCCCTCAAGACCTGACTGTGGTGCTCGTGGGCAGGAGACAACTTTGGATCTGGGCTCAGCATTTGGAAGTTCCGTGTACACGCTGGTATCTGTTAGGGGTGTCTTGGGCCTCTGAGAAGGGCGACTGATTTTTCTCTGTATGAAAACGCAGTGATCCAACTGTGCGTACGTCACCTCCTGAGGGTCTTGTTCATCAGAGTCCTGGAGAGAGGGAAATGCTGAGTGAGGGAGGGTGCTCACATTTTTCAGGACTATTAGGGATAAGACTGTATCCGTGAGGCTGGGCCGAGGAGGACCTACCTGCCTATTCACTGTTCTGTCCCCCGCAGGCTCTTGGTCCATTACAGCAGCATCTGTAGGAGACGGAAGTCATCAAAACCGCTTGGAGGGCCCTTCTGGGTCCTCATTTCATGGGCAGACACCAACCCACAGGGGGAGGCTGTAGGTGCCTGAGGCTCTTCAGCTGCCAACATCCAGACTCAGACATTCTATCTCTCTGAGTTCAAGACCCCATCCCATGAAGTGCTCTCAATTGGCATCCCATTGATTCTGTCTC
The DNA here is from genome assembly GCF_000001405.40 of Homo sapiens. Lineage (NCBI taxonomy): Eukaryota > Metazoa > Chordata > Mammalia > Primates > Hominidae > Homo > Homo sapiens. Next base: position 2,892 of record NT_187673.1, read on the forward strand.
CCACTTTCTGCCTGTCATGGAAGCTTCTGGATGTCAGTAGCTGCAGGGGATGTGAGGATACAGTTCAGAACCAGGCAATGGTCTGTGAGCTGAAGGCAGGGGCAGGTTGTCTGGTGCTCTCTCTAGAAAGCCCTGCCTCTGTGGCTCCTCCCTTGGGCCAGGGACCATCCTGCCAGTGAGGAACACACACCCGCGTGCTCCCATCCTGCTTCCCCACATGGCCCTGAGCTCTCTGGCCTCTGCTTCGTGAGACTTACTCTTTTTGTTGGAGCACCAGCGATAAAGGAGAAAGAAGAGGAGGAGGATGAAGAGGAAGATGACCACTGAGGTCCCAATCAGAACATGCAGGTGTCTGCAGATACCTGGAGGAAGATGGGAATCCAATAAGAAGCTAATCATAGCAGTTCCTCTTTATGGATTGTCTCATTTCTTGATTGACAGGTAACCACATGGAACATCTCCTTAGGACAAGCAGCCTGATGGCGGGAGACCCAGCTTTCTCCTGCTTTCTCAGTTACAGCTCTCATAGAAACCATAGAACATGCTGAGGATACAGCTGCTTTAGTTTAGATGTTTGACCCTTTGAAACCTCACACTGAAATATTGAAATTTAACCCCCAGTGTGGAAGTTTGGGCCTATGGGAAGGTGTTTGAGTCATGGAGGTGGATCCATCATGAATAGATTAATGCTGCCCCACATGATGGGGTTAGCAAGTTCCCCCTCTATTAGTTCCCGGAGGGCTGGTTGTTAAAAAGAGCTTGGAAGCTCCATCGCTCGCCCTCCCCCTTGCTCCCTCTCTTGCCATGTGATCTCTGTGGTCTCTGCACAGACAGACCCTCCTTCCCTTCTGCCAGAGTGGGAGCAGCCTGAGGCCGTCACAGGAAACAGATGCTGGTGCCATGCTTCCAGTACAGCCTGCAGAACTGTGAGGCAAACAAATCTGTTTTCTCTAGAAGTTGCCCAGGCTCTGGGATGCAAGGCTGGTTCAATATATGCAAATCAATAAATGTAATCCATCATATAAACAGAACCAAAGACAAAAACCGGACGACTATCTCAATAGATGCAGAAAAGGCCTTTGACAAAATTCAACAACGCTTCATGCTAAAAACTCTCAATAAATTAGGCATTGATGGGACGTATCTCAAAATAATAAGAGCCATCTATAACAAACCCACAGCCAGTATCATACTGAATGGGCAAAAACTGGAAGCATTCCCTTTGAAAACTGGCACAAGACAGGGATGCCCTCTTTCACCACTCCTATTCAACATAGTGTTGGAAGTTCTGGCCAGGGCAATTAGGCAGGAGAAGGAAATAAAGGGTATTCAATTAGGAAAAGAGGAAGTCAAATTGTCCCTGTTTGCAGATGACATGATTGTATATATAGAAAACCCCATTGTCTCAGCCCAAAATCTCCTTAAGCTGATAAGCAGCTTCTACAAAGTCTCAGGATACAGAATCAATGTACAAAAATCACAAGCATTCTTATACACCAATAACAGACAAACAGAGAGCCAAATCATGAGTGAACTCCCATTCACAATTGCTTCAAAGAGAATAAAATACCTAGGAATCCAACTTACAAGGGATATGAAGGACCTCTTCAAGGAGAACTACAAACCACTGCTCAATGAAATAAAAGAGGATACAAACAAATGGAAGAACATTCCATGCTCATGGGTAGGAAGAATCAAGATCGTGAAAATGGCCTTACTGCCCAAGGTAATTTATAGATTCAATGCCATCCCCATCAAGCTACCAATGACTTTCTTCACAGAATTGGAAAAAACTACCTTAAAGTTCATATGGAATCAAAAAAGAGCCTGCATTGCCAAGTCAATCCTAAGCCAAAAGAACAAAGCTGGAGGCATCATGCTGCCTGACTTCAAACTATACTACAAGGCTACAGTAACCAAAACAGCATGGTACTGGTACCAAAACAGAGATATAGATCAATGGAACAGAATAGAGCCCTCAGAAATAATGCCACATATCTACAACTATGTGATCTTTGACAAACCTGAGAAAAACAAGCAATGGGGAAAGGATTCCCTATTTAATAAATGGTGCTGGGAAAACTGGCTAGCCATAGGTAGAAAGCTGAAACTGGATCCCTTCCTTACACCTTATACAAAAATTAATTTGAGATGGATTAAAGACTTAAACGTTAGACCTAAAACCATAAAAACCCTAGAAGAAAACCTAGGCATTACCATTCAGGACATAGGCATGGACAAGGACTTCATGTCTAAAACACCAAAAGCAACGGCAACAAAAGCCAAAATTGACAAACGGGATCTAATTAAACTAAAGAGCTTCTGCACAGCAAAAGAAACTACCATCAGAGTGAACAGACAACCTACAAAATGGGAGAAAATTTTCGCAACCTACTCATCTGACAAAGGGCTAATATCCAGAATCTACAATGAACTCAAACAAATTTACAAGAAAAAAACAAACAATCCTATCAAAAAGTGGGCAAAGGACATGAACAGACACTTCTCAAAAGAAGACATTTATGCAGCCAAAAAACACATGAAAAAATGCTCACCATGACTGGCCATCAGAGAAATGCAAATCAAAACCACAATGAGATACCATCTCACACCAGTTAGAATGGCGATCATTAAAAAGTCGGGAAACAACAGGTGCTGGAGAGGATGTGGAGAAATAGGAACACTTTTACACTGTTGGTGGGACTGTAAACTAGTTCAACCATTGTGGAAGTCAGTGTGGCGATTCCTCAGGGATCTAGAGCTTGAAATACCATTTGACCCAGCCATCCCATTACTGGGTATAAACCCAAAGGACTATAAATCATGCTGCTATAAAGACACATGGACACGTATGTTTATTGTGGCACTATTCACAATAGCAAAGACTTGGAACCAACCCAAATGTCCAACAATGATAGACTGGATGAAGAAAATGTGGCACATATACACCATGGAATACTATGCAGCCATAAAAAATGATGAGTTCATGTCCTTTGCAGGGACATGGATGAAATTGGAAATCATCATTCTCAGTAGACTATCACAAGGACAAAAATCCAAACACCGCATGTTCTCACTTATAGGTGGGAATTGAACAATGAGAACACATGGACACAGGAAGGGGAACATCACACTCTGGGGACTGTTGTGGGGTGGGGGGAGGGGGGAGGGATAGCATTAGGAGATATACCTAATGCTAAATGACGAGTTGATGGGTGCAGCACACCAGCATGGCACATGTATACATATGTAACTAACCTGCACATTGTGCACATGTACCCTAAAACTTAAAGTATAATAATAATAAAAATTTTAAAAAAAAGCTCATCAGAAGCACTATACAAAAAAAAAAAAAAAAAAAAAGAAGTAACCCAGGCTCAAGTGTTCTTTTATAGCAACAAAAATGGACTAAGACAGCAACGTCCTGAGATCAGGAGGAACGTCTCAGAACAGCCTGTGCTGTCTTCCTGTTCTTCCTGGAGGAGGACGTCATGCAGTGCTTTAGCTGAGTGCTTCCTGTGGCTTCAGGGTACAAAACCCAGGCTGGGCTATTTTCTGGCTTCCCCCAGATACACTGCAAATGAGGTGACTCCATATGTCCCGAGCAGCTTTTCTGAGCCTTGAGGGACTGGCTCACGTTGAAATGTAGGCTTCTGTTGTCACTCGCTGCTTATCTGTTAGTAATGAACCTGCCTATGTAACGTATTCTCTGTGTGTTCTGTCTCCCTGGAGTGACGGTGAGTGATAGAAATTGGCATAGGCCCAGGTGCAGTACAGCAGGTGTTTAGAGTCTTCTCTGGAAAGACTGGACTGGGATTGATACACAGTGAATGTGCTTTACAGTTTCTACATCCACAACCCTCTTGACTCAAATTACATTCTCCAAGAAAAGGACACAAAAGTGAAATCAAGATCAAAAAAGCAAAGTAGAATTCTCTTATGTCAAACAGCCAGGAAATAATGATGAAGCCCATGTGAAACGTGCTACTCTTTGTGATCTCGCGAGACACATGTTAGGCTGCTGTTCCACCTGAGAGGCTGGGGGAAAGACCACCCCCTCCACCATCTATTGCTTCAAAACCACCTGTCCTCCTGTGAATTAGTAGGAAAGGGGAGCAGGAGCTAGTGCTGGTGCTGATCTCTGATTCCAAGATCTGAACTCACTCCAAGGAGTATTAGCGTTTACCTCCCCATGATCTATCTGTATCTCCACAGGTGATTGGAAGTAGGGGTGAGGTGGGGGATTTGGGTGAGGGGGAAAGTTTCTTGTGATGAACAGAGCACTTTCCCTATTTCAGGGCCTGTGCTGGTGGGTTCAGGGGGCTTTCATATTTTCCATATGATCTCATGTTCACAGAAAGCCAAATATGGAAGAGGTTTTAGGCTGATTTTCTAATGGATAAGATAAAGGATCAAAGAAGTAATTATAGAGGAATAGAAAAATGATGATTGGAATTCAGGTGCCTGCATCATTTGTGTATATTATTATATTTATGTATTTTTTATTTTTATTTTTTGAGACAGAGTATCCCTGTGTAGCCCAGGCTGGTGTGCAGTGATGCGATCTCCACTCACTGCAACCTCTGCCTCCAGGGCTGAAGTCATTCTCCTGCTTCCTCCTCCAGAGTAGCTGGGATTACAGTCATGCACCACCATCATGCCTGTTTAATTTTTGTATTTTTAGTAGAGATAGGGTTTCTCCATGTTGGCCAGGCTGGTCTCGAACTCCTGACTTCATGTGATCCACCCGCGTTGGCCTCCTGAAGTGCTGGGTTACAGGCGTGAGCCACCGTTCACAGCCTTGTATATTATGCTATACTAGGTCCCTTCATTTGCACCACCCCTCATCTAGCTCTCCCTCCTCTGCCAGGTATTGATTTAGATGCAGGAGAAATAAATCTCAGAAATAAGTTAGTGAAGCGAGGATTAAACTACCAGGAAAAATTAAACCCAGCAAGCCTTTCCAGCCAATGATTCTACCTCACAAACATATCTTATATCCATCTACTTCATTCATTTAGTGTCTAAATCAGCACCACATTTCACCAGTGGGGCGGCAATTGCCTTTTCCACGGTCTCCTAGATTCCAGTTATGCAACTGAGCCTCCCTTATTTTCATGTCAGTCATATTAATCATGTAGGGATTCCTGGTTACCTCGAGGTGAATCCAATGGCTGTGAGTGTCAAACACACGCTCCTTGTTGCTCCTTAGTTTCCTGTGTACCCAGTGTGCTCTCCGTCTCTCTACAGTCATCTTGTCATTCTCCCCACCTCATTCCCAGCATTTCAGGCAGAGCCTCTTCCTTCCACATCAGATTGTTTTCACCTTTGTGCCTTCACGGCTGACAGCTGTGTGTGCAAAATCCTTCCGCCAATCTTTCAGGGGTTCAATCCGTGTTTTTCATTAATGTCACAAATATCTGATTAGTGAGAACTTCTCTGTCACCTGAAATAATACACTCAGCATTATCTATTATTGATTTGAAAATTTGGCTTGGCCCCGTGGCTCATGCCTCTTATCCCAGCGTGTTGGGAGGCAGAGGCTATTGGATCACCTGAGGTTGGGAATTTGAGACCAGCCTGGCCAACATGGTGAAACATCCTCTCTACAGAAAATATGCAAAAAGAGTTAGCCGGGCGTGGTGGTTGTGGTCTGTAATCCCAGCTACTGGAGAGGCTGAGGGAGGAGATCAGTTCAGCCCAGGAGGTGGAGGTTGCAGTGAGCCGAGATCATGCCACCGCACTCTAGCCTGGACGACAGAGCAAGGCTCCGTCTCAATAAACAAGTAGGTAAATACATAAATAAATAGATTTCATGCACAGATGCTTCTCAATAGATCATTCATTTATTGGTCCCCTTGTGCCTACATTTTCTGCCCTCCCATTTAACCATCTGCAAGATCAGTGTCCCAAGAACAGAGGCCAAATGCATCTTGTTCACTGTTTGTGGAAGGCAGGAGAATGTTGTCCCACCCCAAAAATGTCCATGTCCTAGCCTCCATAGCTTGTGAATATGTTATTTTACATGAAAGGAGGAATGAAGATTGCAGATGGAATTATGGTTGCTAGTCAGCTGAACTTAAAAGGAGGGTATCCTGGATGATTTCCGGGAGATTATGATGGATTTTCATCTTGGTGAACCCAATAGAATCCCCAAGTTTTCAAAAGAAGGGCAAGAAGGGAGAGCAGCATTCAGAGAAAGAGGTGTGGTAAGGAAGAAGGGTCTGAGTGATGCCATGTGAGATGTGACCAGTCTTTGTGGGCTTTGAGGAAGGAGGAAGGGTACCAGGAGCCAAGGAACATGGGAGCCTCTAGAAGCTGAGAAAAGTGAGAAGCAGATTCTTGCCTGGAACCCTCAGAGGGAAGGCAGCCTTGCTGTCACCTTGATTTTAGCCCAGTGACATGCACGTCATGCTTTGAGCTACAGCACTGTAAGATAATTAAATAACCGTTTTGTTTTCACACACGAATCTTGTGGAAATTTGTTATGGCAACAATAGGAAAAGCTTCCACACTGCACAGCCTGAGCATGGGGCTGTGGCTGAATGAGTCACTGAGTCGAAGTGTGCGTGCATGAGCTCTGTTCTCTGTTACGGCAAGGCTCTTGCTCTGCTGAGTCAGCCAGGGTTGCCTGATGACCAACAGTAATTCATTCCTTGGCAAGTGGAACTTCTCTAAAACACCCACCCTCATCAGATGTTCCCTTCCCTTCCCTCTCTCAAGCCCCCGGGAATTTATCCTCCAGTTAGGAATGCAGGCAGAAAAAACACTGCATTTTTCCTGAGAAGGATGTCAGATTGGCAATTATTCTTCTAGCTTGTAGGAGGTCTCACCTGCAGGAAATTAAAGGTAAAGAGACTTCGCTGAGCCCTTTGGTGGCCCTAGATCCCTTTCACTGTTGGAGTGTCTGGAGTTCAGAGATGGTGGAAGACAGGCCCTCATTCACAGAGCTGGGAGGTTTGAGCCAACACTTGCATCCAAGGCTTCCACCTCCCCAGGTTTCCAAAAGCAGAGATAAGAGGGGTCCTTTACTCACCAGATTTGGAGCTTGGTTCTGTGGGTGAAGGCCAACTACTTGAAGGGTTTCCTAGAACACGGGACAGGAGAGATGTGAGGAAATGAGGGTGCTTGTCCTCTACTCAATGGAAATCTTTGAGGTTGGTTCATGGCCAACACTCTGTTATCTAATGTTGGACCCTGGGAGTCTTGGGATCCTTTTCTCCATAATTTTTGTGTGCGATGCCCACTGTCTTGAGACTTGAAGGTATAAAGAGAAAACAGGAGCATCACACTACCTGACTTAGAAATATGTTACAGAGCTGTAGTAAGCAAAACAGCATGACATTGGCATAAAGAAAGGCACATAAAAAATGGAACCGAATGAAGAACACAGATATAATCCATGCATTTACATCCAATGGCTTTCTTTTGTGTGTGTGTGATAGAATCTTGCTCTGTCATGCAGGCTGGAGTGTAGAGGTGCAATCTCAGCTCAATGCAACCTCCACTTCCTGGATTCAAGAAATTCTCTTGCTTCAAACTCCTGAGTAGTGGTATTACAGGCACTGATCACCATGCTCAGCTAATTTTTGTATTTTTAGTAGAGACGAGGTTTCACTCTGTTGGCCAGCCTGGTCTTGAACTCCTGGCTTTAGGTGATCCACCCGCCTCGGCCTCCCAAAGTGCTGGAATTGCAGGTGTGAGCCACCATACCCAGCCCATTTAATGGACTTTGACAAAGGTGCCGAGAACTTACAATCAGGAAAGGACAGTCTTCAATAAATGGTGTGGGGAAAACTGGATATCTACATGCAGAGGAATAAAACTGCATCTATACCTGTCACCTTACACAAAAATCAAATGAAAATGGATTAAAAACATGAGTCTAAGGCCTGAACCTATGAAACATGTAGAAGAAAATAATGGGGAAGACATTTGTCTGACGAAAGACATTTTGTTTAAAACCTTCAAAACACAAGTAATCAAAGCAAAAAATAGACCATTAGGATTACATCAAACCAAGCAACTTCTGCACCACCAAAGATAAACCAACAAAGTGAAGAGACAACCCACAAAATAGGAGCAAATATTTGCAAACTATTCATCTGAGATGGGATTAATAACTGGAAATATAAGAAGCTCAAACAACTCAATAAAACAATTTAATTAAAAAACGAGCAAAAGACATGAGGAGACATTTCTCCACAAACAAAACATAGAAATGGCGATCACGTATATGAAAAAGTGCTCAGCATCACTCATCATCACAGAAATGTAAATTACAATCGCGATGAGTTTTCATCTCATCCCATTAAAATGCCTTTTAGGCCGGTGGCTCACGCCTGTAATTCCAGCACTTTGGGAGGCGGAGGTGGGCGGATCACCTGAGGTCGGGAGACCAGCCTGACCAACATGGAGAAACTCCCTCTCTACTAAACATACAAAAATTAGCTAGGCGTGGTGGCACATGCCTGTAATCCCAGCTACTTTGGAGGCTGAGGCAGGAGAATCAGTTGAACGCGGGAGGCAGAGGTTGCAGTGAGCCGAGATCACACCCTTGCACTCCAGCCTGGGCGACTATGAGTGAAACTCCATCTCAACATAAATAAATAAATAAATAAAGTAAAGTAAAATGGCTTTTATCTGCAAGACAGGCAAAACAAATGCTGGCAAGATGGTAGAGAAAGGAGAACCCTGGTACCCTGTTGGTAGGAATGTAAATTAGTACAACTATTATGGAGAAAAGTATGGAAAATCTTTAAAAAACTAAAAGGAGGCTGGGCATAGTGGCTTATGCCTGTAACTTCAGCACTTTGGGAAACCGAGGCAGGCACCTCACTTGAGGTCAGGAGTTTGAGAGCAGCCTGCCCAAAATTGGGATATCCCGTCTGTGCTAAAAAATACAAGAATTAGTCAGGCATGGTGGCGTGCACCTGTAATCACAGCTATTAGGGAGGCTGAGTCAGGAGAATCGTTTGAACCTAGGAAGCAGAGGTTGCAATGAGCCAAGATCGCACCACTTTGACTCCAGCTTGGACTAAGGAGGGAAACTCTTTCTCAAAAAAGAAAAAAAAAAAAAGAGAACTTTCATAGTGTCCAGCAATTTCACTACTGGGTTTATATCCAAAGGAAAGGACATCAGTGTATCGAAGTGATATCTGCACTCATATGACTGTTCCAGCACTGTTCACAGTAGCCAAGATGTGGAGTCAACCTACCTGCCTATCAGTGGGTGAATGGATAGAGAACTGTAGTACACACACACGGTGGAGACTACTCATCCATAGAAACAATAACATCCTGTCATTTGCAGCCACATGGATGGAACTGGAGGTCATTACAAAGATTCCCATTTCTCACCACATGCAGGAGATAAAAGGTGGATCTCATGAAGGTAGAGAATAGAATGGTGGATACCAGAGGCCAGGAAGGGAAGGGTGGAAGGTAACAAAAAAAAGAATATAGATGTATTTATTTATTTAGAAACAGAGTCTCTCTCTGTCTCCCAGGCTGCAGTGCAGTGGCATGATCTCGGCTCAGTGCAACCTCTGCCTCCTGGCTTTAAGTGCTTCTCCTGCCTCAGCCTCCCAAGTAGCTAGGACTACAGGTGCATGCCGGCATGCTTGGCTAATTTTTCTTGTCTGTTTAGTAAAGATGAATTTCCCGCATGTTGGCCAGGCTGATCTCGAGTCCCTGATCTTAAATGATCCACCTTTCTTGGCCTCTCAAAGCGCCAAGATTACAACCGTGAACCACCACACCCAGCATATAAAGGTATTTATGACCACTAGATTTTACTTTTAAAAATGGTAAAGTTGGTAAATTATATAGTTACATTTAACCTCAATAAATATTTTTGAAAATGAAAAGAAAAGAGTGTAGGGGTTGCTGGTGATGACATCTCTCTGTGTGGGTGAGAGGCCAGGATGGGCTTCTGGGAAATGGGTAAGGTTGAGGGGCTGAGGGAACCTCTGATCTCCCCAAACTGAGCCCAGTCTCCCCTTCTCTGGGTCTGTCCTGACCGCTTTCTCCATCTGCCTGGGTGCCTGGAGCCCTGACCATGGGCCTCCATGCAGGCCATGCAAGAGGGTTTGGAGGTGCCCTGTCTGCCATCCTGCACCCTGACCCCCCCCCACACCCAGTCTTCGTGTTCTCTCTGCATCTGTCCATGCTTCTCCCCATCATCGGCAGGAAGCTCCTCAGCTATGGCTCTAGGATCATAAGACATGGGACAGACACGGGTTTTCCTCACCTGTGACAGAAACAAGCAGTGGGTCACTTGAGTTTGACCACACGCAGGGCAGGGCACGGAAAGAGCCGAAGCATCTGTAGGTCCCTCCGTGGGTGGCAGGGCCCAGAGGAAAGTCTGCCTGGAATGTTCTGTTGACCTTGGGCACTGCACGGAGCCTACGTTCATGGGCCTCCCCTTCCCTGGACAGATGGTAGATGTCATAGGAGCTCCAGGAGCTACAGGACAAGGTCACGTTCTCTCCTGCCTGAACCGTGGGGCCCGGCTGGGCTGAGAGAGAAGGTTTCTCATATAGACCTGGAAGGAGAAGAGGCAGTTTCCTCAGGGAGGTTCTTCCTTGTCACAGCTCCCCTCATACCTGAGCTGAGAACTCACTCCCCTGCTCTATGACCTAATGCTCTCTCTCTCTCTCACCCTCCACCCCAACTCTCTTCATGTCTATTTCCTCCTTCCGCCTTCTCTGTCTCTCTAGGTCTCTGACCTCACTTCCCCACCCCTGGGTATGCTTTCCCTTTTTGGATTGTTTTATTCTCTCTGACTCTCCTTGGATTGGTTGACTTGATCTTCCTTTTTCTATAATTCTGAGTCTCTCACTTTCTGTCTTGTTCATAACTTTCTGCATATTTCTATCTATTATCTATCTATCTATTTTGTGTCTATCTACAAATTATCTGTCATCTATATCTATGTATCATTTATCTATCAATTGTCTATCTGTCTATCCATCAATCATCTATGTATTATCTGTATCTATGTATCATCTCTCTCTCTCTCTATTACCTCTCTGTCTGCCTGTCAGTCTCTATGTATCATCTATGTATCTATATATTTATATATGTGTCTTCTATCTATCTATCTTCATCATCATCATCATCATCATCTCTATGTATCATCTATCAATCATCATCTATGTATCTATAACCTATCCATTATCTATCATCTACCTATTTATCATCTATCTATATCTATCTATCCATCTATCATCTGTCTCTCTCCATCTCCTTGTCTTTCTCTGCCTCTCAGTCTCTCTAGTTCTATTTGGAATCTCTGCAATCCATCCCCACATCTTTATCTTTCTCTGTCTTTGTGCCCCTCCCTCAGGGTTCTGATTTTGGGGCTTTTCTCTCCTCCCTTCCAGCATTCTCTCCACTCCTCTGCCCTCTTTTCTTTCTTTTTGTGTGTCTGTGAGTCTCTCAATCCCCTTCCTCTGGCTCATTCTCTGTGTGTTTATGCCTTTGCTTTTTGAAGTCCCTGATTTATCTCTGTGTCTCTCAGTGATCCTATTATATGTAGGATTATTTGGAATATGAGCCTCAGAATCTAGTCTGGGGACACCAAGTACACACAGTATTTAGGGGTTGGTGTTCTGGGGCCATGATATCCTGGGATAATTATGGCTCCACTGCATGGAAGGCAGAGGTGTCAGAATAAACATGGCATCTGTAGATGCCACAAGGCCTGAGGCCACAGGGCCCAACTCAGGTCAGAAATATGGGTGTCCTTGGGTTCTCCTCGTAGAAGCACTTTGTGGAGACAAAACAGAAATGAAACTTCTAACCTGTGCCAGGTCTCTGAGCAAAGTCAGCATGGAAGGACACTTCTCTCTGGCACATGTCTGTCTGTCTGAGTGTCTCCTTTACCTCTTTCTCTCTTTTCTACTTCCCCGTATGGCCCCTGTGTCTGTCCTCTGTTATGACACCTGGTCTGTACTTATGTCTCCTGTTTCCCTGTCTCTGTTGGTACAGACCTCACCGAGTCAGTCTCTCTCCATAAGAATCCCACGCTTATCTTCCTCATGACCACCTGGGGGTTCCAAGTCCTGGATCATTCACTCTGTGTCCCAATGACAATGAGAAGAATGTCTGGACACTCTCACCTGTGATCACGATGTCCAGGGGGTCACTGGGAGCTGACAACTGATAGGGGGAGTGAGGAACAGAACCATAACATCTGTAGGTTCCTGCAAGGACAGGCATCAAGGGACCGATGGAGAAGTTGGCCTTGGAGACCCCATCATGGATCTGTCCAACGAGGCGTGAGGGGTCCTCAGAGATCCCCTCTCTGTGCAGAAAGAAGTGCTCAAACATGATATCTGACCAACATTGCAGGATGACTGTCTCTCCTGATTTCAGCAGGGGCCCTGGGTGGGCCAGGAGGGAAGGTTTTCTGTGGTTTCCTAGAAAGAGAAGTTGTGAGTTTAGAAGGCATCTCTCTTTATCATCCCATCCATGGCACCTGGAATGAGTGAGGGTTCCCCTCCCAGAGGTCTGTCTCTCTCCTCCCTCTCTGTGTCTCCGTGTCTTTTCTGTGCCCATATCCCCTGGTGCAGGTCCCTCCATTTGTCTTCCTCCCTCTTCTCTGTCCCTCTGTCTCCAGTAGCCCCTGACTCCCTTCCCACTGTGAAGAGAGCCTCATCTCTTGGGCTGTTGTATCTCTTTCCCACTAGTCTCTTTCCTGCTGTCTATGTGGGGGTGGAAGAGGACAGGCTGCATGTCCAGGCTCTCAGCAGCCTGAATCAATCTCTTTTGAACAAATTGGAGTCTCTGGCAGAGGTATCAACTCATCAGTAAGGCAGACATCAGTGTCCACACACCCTGTTCCTGATGGGGATTGGGAGCCTCTCCTGCCATGTCTGTGCCTTCTCCATGGCCCCAGCTTCCATAGGGTGGTCCCTGGTGCTGGTTCCAGGAGCATCAACCCCTTCCTATGTGGATGGAGCCTGGTGGTGGCATCAGCATCCCACCCTTGCTGATCCCACGGTAGCCAACCTTCTCCTTGTTTGGTTTCTTTAATTAATTGATTAATTAATTTATTTTTGAGACAGTCACTTTTTCACCCAGGCTGGAGTGCAGTGGTGTTGTCTTGGCTCACTGCAACCTCTGCCTCCCCGGTTCAAGTGATTATCTTGCCTCAGCCTCCCCAGTCGTTGGATTACTCGTGCCCACCACCACACCTGGCTATCCTTGTTTGGTTTCCTAGCTTGTCCTTGACCTGGGTTCCTGTGTCGGTTTCCTGTTGCTGCTGCAGAAAATTATCACAAACATGGCAGCAGGAGAGAACACACTGACCCCTTCCACTTCTGGGGACAGAAATTGGATCCAGTTCTCCCTGTGCTGAAATCAAGGCATCTGCAGGGCTGCGTTCCCTCTGGAGACTCAGCAAATCAGTTCTCTTGACTTCTCCAGCCCTTAGAGGCCACCTGCATTCTGTGACTAGTGGCCTTCCTCCACCTTCAAAGCCCACAGTGGCTGATAGCGTCTCCCTCCCACTACACTGCTCTAATCCCCACTCCCCTCTTCCTCCACCTCTCACGCGGACCCTTGTGATTACACTGAGCCCAGCAGGACAGTCCAGGCTGTCTCCCCATCTCAAGGTCAACTCATCAACAACCTGAGCTCCACCTTCCCCTTCAGTCCCCTGCCCTATAACATAAATAGTCACAGGCTCCAGGGTTTACAATGTAGCCATCATTGGCGACAGTTATTCTTCCCACCACAGCGCCCATTTCCCCTGTATTCAATCTCCCTTGACCCCAAATACAGTTGGGGCCTGGGTGATGGGACCCTGATGGACACCCCCACCAGAAGCTCTGGGATTCAGGAGGTGGGACAGTGAGAAGCCCAGACAGAAAGCCTCTGACCTGTGACCATGATCACCAGGGGGTTGCTGGGTGCCGACCACCCAGTGAGGGAGTGTGGGCGTGAACCCCGACATCTGTAGGTCCCTGCATGTGCTGGGGTCACAGGGCCCATGATGAAGCTCTCCTGGAATATTCTGCCGTGGAAGATGGGAACGTGGCTTCTGTCTTCTTTGTACAGCATGAAATTGTTAAACCCACGACGATAGTGACACTGAAGAGCCACGTGTCCTCCTCGAGGCACCACAGTGCTGGGCCGGGCAGACAGGAAGGGTTTGTCCTGACCACCTGGGGGAGAAGGAGGCACTGCCTTAGAGAGGAGGATGTGGAGCCACCCCTCCCTCCCTGTGCTCAGAAGATTCTCCCATTTCCACTTTCTAAGGCTCCTACCACACCTGGGTGCCCAGGGCTACAGGAAGGACCCACCCCACATAGACATGGCGTCTCCCTACAACAAGTGTCAGCTGAGAACTTTGAGCAAGTGCTGAATAAGTGACTCTTACTAGATTTTAATACTGCAAAATTACTCACATAAAACAACACAAAGTAGACACGGCATGGAGGGCATGTCCTATGTGAATGGAATATCAGCCAATTCATGAACTGAGCCCCCTCAGAGGATTTGGAATGTCAGGGCCATGGCTGTGGTTTCCCCCCTCTTCTGGTAGAAAGACCGCAGCCACACTGCAGTCCCTACCGTCACGGAAACGCTGGAGGGTGTCAGTTATACCTTTGTCCTCAGAGGACCTGCTGTTCCTAGCACTGCTTCCCTCTCTTTCTCTGCTGCTGACACCACTTCCTCCCTGCACACCCCAGCTTGGAGCACCCCAGTCTCACCCCAGTCTTCACAGAGCTTGACTCAGGAAAGGGAAAGAAAGGCCGGGGAGGGCGAGGTCAGAAATGTGGGCCGAGTATCCAAGGGTCCCCTCTTCCTAGTTTATGAGAGACTCCCCGACAGGACTTCCCTCCTGTTTCAGAAAAATCCTCTTATGTGGGGAGATGACACCCTAAGGTTTGGGGAAGGACTCACCCATGAGTGGCCAGGCCCCCTGCAGCAAGAAGAACCCTGGAAAGAAAGATCATGATAGACGATCCAACTGCAGGCAAACCAGGGCACCCTGCTGCCCCCACTGCACTGTGTGTCTTGGCAGCCAGGCCCTTGCTGGGCTGAAGGTAAACTTAGCCTCCCTGCTACCTGCTGCCAAGAACAGGGCTCTCAGCTGTGGAGAGACCCAGGCTCCAGGCCCAGATCAACACTTCCTGGCCCAGATCTCCACTCCAGGCCCATATCTCCACTCCAGGCCCCTATCTCCACTCCAGGCCCATATCTCCACATCAGACCCATATCTCCACTCCAGGCCCATATCTCCACATCAGACCCATATCTCCACTCCAGGCCCAGATCTCCCCTCTAGGCCCATATCTCCACTCCAGGCCCATATCTCCACTCCAGGCCCATATCTCCACATCAGACCCATATCTCCACTCCAGGCCCATATCTCCACTCCAGGCCCAGATCTCCACCTGCAGGCCCATATCTCCACTCCAGGCCCATATCTCCACTCCAGGCCCGTATCTCCACTCCAGGCCCATATCTCCACACCCAGGCCCATATCTCCCCTCCAGGCCCATATCTCCACTCCAGGCCCATATTTACACCTCCAGGCCCATATCTCCACACCCAGGCCCATATCTCCACTCCAGGCCCATATCTCCACTCCAGGCCCATATCTTTACCTCTAGGCCGAGATCTCCATCCCCACTCTCCCTCCCTCTATTCCCTTCCAGGACTCACCAACGCACGCCATGCTGACGACAGTGAGCGACATGGTGCTGCCGGTGCAGACAGGAGGCCGCGCCCCAGCTCAGCTCAGCAGCGCACAGGATGTTATTTGGCGCCCTGCCCATGCAGTTTACATGTTGACCACATCATGGGAGGGTGACGTACGCAGGCTCTTTCTACCTTGCATGAGGCCCAGTGGGTGCTCGCTCAAGAGCGGAACATGGCTTCCTGGAAATTGTTGTGACTACAATTGCCACCTTGCATCCTTCACTATGACCAGACTCAAAAGACGTCTCAGATCCAACCTCTCACACATGAGGTGATTGAATTCTGTGCTTACATTAAAGACTTTTGATGTATTTTTGTTTTTATCTGAGATTCAAACTTTTCTTCATGTGTAATGTGCAAAATATCTAAGAGGTATTATTAACATTATCAGAGTAATTGTGACAAAAAGCCATTCTAATTTTCCTGATGAGTTTCTAGTACTAAACCTGAGGCACGAGAATTGCTTGAACCTGGGAGGCGGAGGCTGCAGTGAGCTGAGCTCAAGCCACTGAACTCCAGCTTGGGTGACAGAGGAAGAGTCTGTCTCAAGAAAGAAAAAAAAAAGCAAACTAAATAACCTATAATAACAAATCAGAGAACTCAGGTTACCAAATTTTAAGGGGTTCTATAAGTTTATATGAAATGCAGCATCCTCATGAGAGGGGATACAGAGAACCACTGGGCAGAAAACTGTGTCTAAAATACATCTGTGGATACACAGTCCCTTTATAGTTGACAAAGGCTGCCATGTAGTTTAAGGTGGAATAGAATATTTTCTCAATAAATAACACAGGACCATAGGGTTACACGTAGGAAAAAATAAATCTAAACTTATCCTCACACTATAAAAACACTTCTTATTTTTTATCTTGTTGTTGTAAACTTTTTATGCTTTATTTTTAAGATTGACAAATAAAAATTATATACTGTGGTCCTTCACTATTCCTGGGTGATTGGTTCCAGGATCCCCATTCAGATACCAAAATCTGCAGATGCTCAAGCCCCTTGCATGAAATGGCATAGCGAAGCTGGGCACCGTGGCTCACGCCTGTAATCCCAGCACTTTGGGAGGCTGAGTTGGGTAGATCACGAGGTCAGGAGTTCAAGACCAGCTGGTCCAACATTCTGAAACCCCATCTCTACTAAAAATACACACACAAAAAAATTTATCTGTGCATGGTGGCACGTGCCTGTAATCCTAGGGGAGGCTACTGGGGAGGCTGAGGGAAGACAATCGCTTGAACCTGGGAGGCGGAGGTTGCAGTGAGCTGAGATCATGCCACTGCACTCCAGCCTGGGTGAGAGAGTGAGACTGTCTCAAAAAAAAAAAATAGCATAGTAATTGCATAGAACCCATGCACATCCTCCTGTATACATGAAATCATCTCTTGATTACTTATAATTCCTGACACAGCCTACACGCCACTCAATTTGTGTCGATTCAACATAGTTTTTTGCTTCTTGAAACTTCGGGGATTTTTTTCTGAAAATATTTTTGATTTATTGTTGGTTCAATAAACACCTGTAAACCCCACAGATATGGAGGACCGACTGTATATTTATATTATGAAAGATGATATGTTGATATGTGTCCCCGTGGAGATGAGGCTAACAAGGCCTATGACTCTACAAATGTTTCATCGTGGAATGACTCTGCCAGCTTTCCAGGTCTGCAGAGAGTAAGAATATCACTTGTTCATGTGATTCACGATCCTTGGAGCCTCCTATGTGCTGTATCTTTGGATGGAAATTGGAGTCTCAGAGACAAATCAGGCTCCATTCTGCTTCCAGAAGCTCAGAGTCCAGGGCTGAGAACCCAATGGAGAACAGATGGGGTTATGTGGACATGGTAATGATAACACCGGAAGCCTTAGGCAAGAAAAGAGTCTCGTTACCGAAACCATGAGGGCAGACATGTTTATTTGAAGGCGGGAAAACTACATTGAAATTATTTAAAAAATTTATAAGTTTTACTGCTGGCAGAAGGCTGAAAGATAGTCTGAAGGGAGGTGGAACAGCACGTGTCTAAGTGCTGTGTTAAGAGGCAGCCTCTTGTATGTTTGGAATTGTGAGTTCCTCAGTGTGATTGCAGCCTCAGGTAGACTAGGAAGTAAGCCAGTTAGGTTGGAGAGGTGGGCAGGGGTCAAGTGAAATGGAGAATTGTGGGCTAAGCAAAGGAGTGTGTTTTCTCTCCAGCAGGCAGTGGGGACCTTAGACATTTGTAAGCAAGAGAGAGGCATGTTCAGATTCGTGGTGTGAGGAAGAGCGATGCCCTAAGATGAAGACTGATGCCTTCAGATTCCAGCTGCTGGTACATGGGAGCTGGCAACCCGGTTTTGAGACAGGGCTGTTGTCTCCCTAGAAGATCCCCTCAAGGCCTGACTGTGGTGCTCGTGGACAGAAGACAACTTTGGATCTGGGCTCAGCATTTGGAAGTTCTATGTACATGCTGGTATCTGTTGGGGGTGTCTTGGGCCTCTCAGAAGGGCGAGTGATTTTTCTCTGTGTGAAAACACAGTGATCCAATTATGCGTATGACACCTCCTGATGGTCTTGTTCATCAGAATCCTGGAGAGAGGGAAATGCTGAGTGAGGGAGGGTGCTCACATTTTTCAGGACTCTTTGGGAATAAGACTAGCCACGAGGCTGGGCCGAGGAGCACCTACCTCGCTGTTCACTGTTCTGTTCCCTGCAGGCTCTTGGTCCATTACAGCAGCATCTGTAGAAGACGGAAGTCAACAAAAGAGCTCGGAGGGCACTTCTGGGTCCTCATTTCATAAGCAGATACCAACAAACAGGGGGAGGCCATAGGTGCCTGAGGTCCCTCAGTTGCCAACAGCAGACTCAGACATTCTATCTCTCTGAGTTCAAGGACCCATCCCATGAATAGCTCTGAGGTCCCATCCCATTGATTCTATCTCCCACTTTCTGCCTGTCATGGAACCTTCTCCTGGATGTGAGTGGCTGCAGGGGACGTGAGGATACAGTTCAGAATCAGGCAATGGTCTGTGAGCTGAAGGCAGGGGAAGGGAATCTGGTGCTCTCTCTAGAAAGTCCTGCCTCTGTGGCTCCTGTCTTGGGCCAGGGACCATCCTGCTGGTGAGGAACACACATCCGCGTGCTCCCATCCTGCTTCCCCACATGGCCCTGAGCTCTCTGGCCTCTGCTTCGTGAGACTTACTTTTTTTGTCGGAGCACCAGCGATGAAGGAGAAAGAAGAGGAGGATGGTGAAAGGGATTTTGACCACTGAGGTCCCAATCAGAACATGTAGGTGTCTGGGGTTACCTGGAAGAAGAGGAGACACCAATAAGAAGCTAATCATAGCAGTTCCTCTTTATGAATTGTCTCGCATTTCTTGATTGGCAGGTAACCACATACAACGTCTCTTTAGGACAAGCACCCAAATGGCGGGAGACCTAGCTTTCCCCTGCTTTCTCAATTATAGCTCTCATAGTAACCATAGAACGTGCTGAGGATACAACTACTTTAGTTGAGATGTTTGACCCTTTCAAACCTCACATTGAAATTTCACCCCCATTGTGGGAGGTTGGGCCTCTTCAGAGGTGTTTGGGTCATGGAGGTGGATCCATCATGAACAGACCAATGCTGTCCCAAGGAGACGGGGTTAGCAAGTTCCCCCTCTGTTAGTTCCTGGAGAGCTGGTTGTTAAAAAGAGCTTGGAAGCTCCATCGCTCCCTCTCCCCCTTACTCTCTCTCTTGCCGTGTGATCTCTGCGGTCTCTGCACAGACAGACCCTCCTTCCCTTCTGCCAGAGTGGGAGCAGCCTGAGGCCATCACGAGAAATAGATTCTGGTGCCATGCTTCCAGTACAGCCTGCAGAACTGTGAGGCAAACCAATCTCTTTTCTTTAGAAGTTACCCAGGCTCAAGTGTTCCTTTAGAGCAACAAAAATGGACTAAGATAGCAACATCCTGAGATCAGGAGGAATGTCTCAGAACAGCCTGGGCTGTCTTCCTGTTCTTCCTGGAGGAGGACGTCATGCAGTGCTTTAGCTGAGTGCTTCCTGTGGCTCCAGGGTACAAAACCCAGGCTGGGCTGCTTTCTGGCTTCCCCCAGTTACACTGCAAATGGGGTGACTCCATATGTCCCGAGCAGCTTTTCTGAGCCTTGAGGGACTGGCTCACATTGAAATGCAGGCTTCTGTTGTCACTCACTGCTTATCTGTTAGTAATGAACCTGCCTATGTAACGTATTCTCTGTGTGTTCTGTCTCCCTGGAGTGACGGTGAGTGATAGGAATTGGCATAGGCCCAGGTGCAGTCCAGGATTTGTTTAGAGTCTTCTCTGGGAAGACTGCACTGGGATTGATACACAGCGAATGTGCTTTAGGATTTCTACATCCACAGCATTCTTGAGTCAAACAAATTGCATTCACCAAGGAAAGGAAACAAAGGTGAAATCACGATTAAAAATAGCGAAGCAAGATTCTCTTATGTCAAACAGCCAGAAAATAGTGTTGAAGCCCGTGTGAAATGTGCTGCTCTTTGTGATCTCGGGAGACACATGTTAGGCTGCTGTTCTACCCGAGAGGCTGGGGGAAGGACCACCCCCTCCACCATCTATTGCTTCAATACCACCTGTCCTCCTGTGAATTAGTAGGAAAGGGGAACAGGAGCTAGTGCTGTCGCTGATCTCTGATTCCAAGATCTGGACTCACTCCAAGGAGTATTAATGTTTCCTCCCCATGGTCTATCTGAATCTCCACAGGTGATTGGAAGTAGGGGTGAGGTGGGGGATTTGGGTGAGTGGGCAAGTTTTTTTTTGCGATGAACAGAGCACTTTCTCTATTCCAGGATCCGTGCTGGAGGATTCAGCGGGCTTTCACATTTTCTATGTGATCTCATGCTCACAGAAAGCCAAATAGGGAAGAGGTTTTAGGCTCATTGCCTAATGGATAAGATAAAGGATCAAAGAAGTAATTATAGAGAAATAGAAAAATGATGATTGGAATTCAGGTGCCTTTGTCATTCGTGTGTGTTTTATTATATTTATGCATTTCTTATTTTTATTTTTTGAGACGGAGTCTCCTTGTGTCACCCAGGCTGGAGTGCAGTGATGCAATCTCCACTCACTGCAACCTCCACCTCCTGGGTTGAAGTCATTCTCCTGCTTCATCCTCCAGAGTAGGAGCTGGGATTACAGGGATGCACCACCATGCTCGGCTAATTTTTGTATTTTTAGTACAGATAGGGTTTCACCATGTTGGCCAGGCTGGTCTGGAACTCCTGACTTCATGGAATCCACCCGCCTTGGCCTCCTGCAGGGCTGGGTTACAAGCATGAGCCACCGTTCACAGACTTGTATATTATGCTATAATAGGTCCCTTCATTTCCACCACCCCTCATATATCTGTCACTCCTTTGCCAGGTATTGATTTATGTGTAGGATGAATAAATCTCAGAAAGAAATTAATTAAGCGAGGATTAAACAAGTAGGAAAATCAAACCCAGCAAGCCTTTCCAGCCAATGATTCTACCTCACAAGCATATCTTATATCCATCTACTTCATTCATTTAGTGTCTAAATCAGCACCACATTTCACCAGTGGGGCGGCAATTGCCTTTTCCACAGTCTCCTAGATTCCAGTTACGCACCTGGGCCTCCCTTATTTTCTTGTCAGTCACTATTAATCATGTAGGGATTCCTGGTTACCCCGAGGTGAATCCAATGGCTGTGAGTGTCAAACACACACTCCTTGTTCCTCCTTAGTTTCCTGTGTACCCAGAGTGCTCTCCATCTCTCTACAGTCATCTTGTCATTCTCCCCACCTCATTCCCAGCATTTCAGGCAGAGCCTCTTCCTTCAACATCAGATTGTTTTCACCTTTGTGCCTTCACAGCTGACAGCTGTGTGTGGAAAATCCTTCCGCCAATCTTTCAGGGGTTCAATCCGTGTTTTTCATTAATGTCACAAATATCTGATTAGTGAGACCTTCTCTGTCACCCAAAATTATACACTCAGCATTATCTATTATTTATTTTGAATTCTGGCTGGGCAAAGTGGCTCACGCCTGTAATCCCAGTACTTTGGGTTGCTGAGATGGTCGGATCACTTGAGGTTGGGAGTTTCAGACAAGCTTGGCCAACATGGTGAAACATCCTCTCTACAAAAAATATACAAAAAGAATTAGCCGGGCATGGTGGCAGTTGCCTGTAATCCCAGCTACTCGAGAGGGTGAGGCAGGAGAATCACTTGGATCCAGGAGACGCAGGTTGCAGTGAGCCAAGATCGTGACACTGCACTGTAGCCTGGAAGACAGAGGGAGACTCTGTCTCAATAAACAAACGAACGAACAAACAAATAGATTTCATGCACAGATGCTTCCCAATGGATCATTCATTTATTGGTCCACTTGTGCATTCATTTTCTGTCCTCCCATTTAACCATCTGCAATATCAGTGTCCCAAGAGCAGAGGCCAAATGCATCTTGTTCACCATTTGTGGAAGGCAGGAGAATGCTGTCCCACCCCAAAATGTCCCTGTCCTAGCCTCCATAGCTTGTGAATATGTTATTTTACATGGAAAGGAGGAATGAAGATTGCAGATGGAATTATGGTTGCTAATCAGCTGAACTTAAAACAAGGGTATCCTGAATGATTTCCGGGAGATTATGACGGATTTTCATCTTGGTGAACCCAATAGAATCCCCAAGTTTTCAAAAGATGAGGAAGAAGGGAGAGCAGCATTCAGAGAAAGAGGTGTGGTAAGGAAGAAGGGTCTGAGTGATGCCATGTGAGATGTGACCAGTCTTTGTGGGTTTTGAGGAAGGAGGAAAGGGACCAGCAGCCAAGGAACTGGGAGCCTTTATAAGATGGGACAAGTGAGAAGCAGATTCTTGCCTGGAATCCTCAGAGGGAAGGCAGGCTTGCTGTCATCTTGATTTTAGCCCAGTGAGATGCACTTCATGCTTTGAGCTAGAGCACTGTAAGATAATTAAATAACCGTTTTGTTTTCACCCACGAATCTTGTGGAAATTTGTTATGGCAACAATAGGAAAAGCTTCCACACTGCACAACCTGAGCATGGGGCCGTGGCTGAATAAGTCAGTGAGTCAAAGTGTGCGTGCATGAGCTCTGTTCTCTGTTACGGCAAGGCTCTTGCTCTGCTGAGTCAGCCAGGGTTGTTTCATGACCAACAGGAGCTCATTCCTTGGCAAGTGGAACTTCTCTAAAACACCTCGCCCTCATCAGATGTTCGCTTCCCTTCCCTCTCTCAAGCCCCCAGGAATTTATCCTCCAGTTAGGAATGCAAGCAGAACAAACATTGCGTTTTTCCTGAGAAGGATGTCAGATTGGCAATCATTCTTCTAGCTTGTAGGAGGTCTCAGCTCCATAAAATGAGAGATGAAGAGATTTCACTGAGCCCTGTGTTGGGCCCAGATCCCTTTCGCTGTTGGAGTATCTGGAGTTCGGAGATGGTAGAAGACAGGCGTACAATGTCAGAGCTGTGAGATGCTGAGTCAACGCCTGAATCCAAGGTTTCCACCTCCCCAGGGTTCCAAAAGCGGATATAAGAGGGTCCTGTACTCACCGGTTTTGGAGCTTGGTTCAGTGGGTGAAGGCCAACTATTTGAAGGGTTTCCTAGAACATGAGACAGGAGAGAGGTGAGGAAATGAGGGTGTCTGTCCTCTACTCAGTGGAAATCTTTGAGTTTGGTTCATGGCCAACACTCTGTTATCTAACATTGGGCCCTGGGAGTCCAGGGATCCTTTCTTCCATAATTTTTGTATGTGACGCCCACTGTCTTGAGACTTCAAGGTATAAAGAGAAAACAGGAGCATCACACTACCTGATCTCAAAATATGTTACAGAGCTGTAGTAAGCAAAACAGCATGATGTTGGCATGAAGAAAGGCACATAGAACAACGGAGCAGAATGAAGAACACAGATATAATCCATGCATTTACATCCAATTTTTTTTATTTTTTCTTTTGAGATGGAGTCTCGCTCTGTCACCCAGGCTGGAGTGCAGAGGTGCAATCTCGGTTCACTGCAACCTCAGCCTCCTGGGTTCAATCAATTCTCTTGCCTCAAACTCCTGAGTAGTAGTATTACAGGTGCTGACCACCATGCTCAGCTAATTTTTATATTTTTAGTGGAGACGAGGTTTCATCACGTCGGCCAGAGTAATCTTGTACTCCTGTCCTCAGGTGATCCACCAGCCTTGGCCTCCCAAAGTGCTGAAGTTGCTGGTGTTAGCCACCATGCCCAGCCCATCCAATGGACTTTGACAAAGGTGCCAAGAACTCACAATCAGGAAAGGACAGTTTTTTCAATAAACAGTGCAGGGAAACCTGGACATCTACATGCAGAGGAATGAAACTGCACCTCTACCTGTCACCATACACAAAAATCAAATGAAAGTGGATTAAAGATGTGAGTCTAAGGCCTGAACCTGTGAAACACGTAGAAGAAAATATTGGGGAAATGCTCCAGTACATTTGTCTGAAGGAAGACATTTTGTTTTAAACCTTCAAAACACAAGTAATCGAAGCAAAAATAGACCATTGGGATTACCTCAAACTAAGCAACTTCTGCACCGCTAAAAATAAACCAACAAAGTGAAGAGACAACCCACAGATTGGGAGCAAATATGTGCAAACTATGCATCTGAGACGGGATTAATAACTAGAAGTATAAGAAGCTCAAACAACTCAATAAAACAAATGATTTAATTGAAAAAGGAGCAAAAGACATGAAATTTCCCCACATACGAAAAAGTGCTCAGTATCACTCATCATCAGAGAAACGCGAATTAAAATCAAAGTGAGTTTTCATCTCACCCCATTAAAATGGCTTTTAGGCCGGGCGAGGTGGCTCACGTCTGTCATCCTAGAACTCTGAGAGCCCGAGGTGGGCGAATCTCATAAGGTCGGGAGTTTGAGACCAGTCTGACCCACATGGAGAAACGCTGTCTCTACTAAAAATACAAAAATTAGTCGGGCGTGGTGGCGTGTGCCTGTAATTCCAGCTACTCGGGAGGCTGAGGCAGGAGAATCGCTTGAACCTGGGAGGTGGAGGTTGCGGTGAGCCGAGATCGCACCACTGCACTCCAGCCTGGGTGACAAGAGCGAAACTCCATCTCAAAATAAAATGAAATAAAATAAAATGGCTTTTAGCTGCAAGACAGGCAAAACAAATGCTGGCAAGGTGGTAGAGAAAGGAGAACCCTGGTACCCTGTTGGTAGGAGTGTAAATTAGTACAGCCATTACGGAGAAAAGTATGGAAGTCCTTTAAAGAACTAAAAAGAGGTTGGATGAAGTGGATCATGCCTGTAATCCCGGCACTTTGGGAGACCGAGGCGGGCACCTCAGTTGAGGTCATGAGTTTGAGAGCAGCCTAGCCAACCTGGGGAAACCCCATGTACACTAAAAAAAACCAAAAAGTATCCCGGCATGGTGGCGTGCACCTGTAATCCCAGCTACTAGGGAGGCTGAGGCAGGAAAATCATTTGAACCCAGGAGGCGGAGGTTGCAATGAGCCAAGATCACATCACTTGTACTCCAGCCTGGGCACAGAGGGAAACTGTCTCAAAAACAAAAACAAAACAACAAACGAAAAACTAAAAAGAGAACTTTCATAGTATCCAGCAATTTCACTACTGGGTTTATATCCAAAGGAAAGTAAATCAATGTATCGAAGTGATATCTGCACTCGTATGATTGGTGCAGCACTCTTCACAGTAGCCAAGATGTGGAGTCAACCTACCTGCCCATCAGTGGATGAATGGATAGAGAGAATGTAGTACATACGCACAGCGGAGACTACTCATCCATAGAAAGAATAACATCCTGATATTTGCAGCCACATGGATGGAACTGGAAGTCATTACAAATATTCTCATTTCTCACCCATATACAGGAGCTAAAAGGTGGATCTCATGAAGATAGAGAGTAGAATGGTGGCTACCAGAGGCCAGGAAGAAAAGGGTGGAGGATAAAACAAACAAACAAAAAATTTATATGTATGTATTTATGACCACTAGACCTTACACTTAAAATTGGTAAACGTGGCCGGGCGCGGTGGCTCATGCCTGTAATCCCAGCACTTTGGGAGCCTGAGGCGGGTGGATCACGTGGTCAGGAGTTCCAGAGCAGCTCGACCAACATGGTGAAACCCCCTCTCTACTAAAAATACAAAAAGTAGCCCGGCGTGGTGATGGGCGCCTGTAGTACCAGCTACTCAGGTGGCTGAGGCAGGAGAATCGCTTGAACCCAGGAGGCGGAGGTTACAGTGAGCTGAGATTGTGCCACTGCATTCCAGCATAGGAGACAGAGCTAGACTCCACCTCAAAAAAAAAAAAATGTTAAAAGTGGTAAGCTATATAGGTATATTTAACCTCAATGAATATTTTTTCAAACAAAAAGAAAAGGATGTAGGGGTTGCTGGTGATGACATCTCTGTGTGGGTGAGAGGCCAGGAAGGGCTTCTGGGAAATGGGTAAGGTTGAGGGGCTGAGGGAACCTCTGATCTCCCCAAACTGAGCCCAGTCTCCCCTTCTCTGGGTCTCTCCTGACCGCTTTCTACATCTGCCTGGGTTTCTGGAGCCCTAATCGGAGGCCTCCATGCAGGCCATGCAGGAGGGTTTGGAGGTGCTGTGTGTGCCATCCTGCGCCCTGATCCCTCCCTCACAGGCATGCTGCGTCTTCTCTCTGCATCTGTCCATGCTTCTCTCCATCATCAGCAGGAAGCTCCTCAGCTAAGGCTCTAGGATCATAGGACATGGGACAGATATGGGGTTTCCTCACCTGTGACGGAAACAAGCAGTGGATCACTCGAGTTTGACCACTCGTAGGGAGCGTCACGGAAAGAGCCGAAGCATCTGTAGGTCCCTCCGTGGGTGGCAGGGCCCAGAGGAAAGTCGGCCTGGAATGTTCCGTTGATGCTGCGCACTGCAGGGAGCCTACGTTCATGGGCCTCCCCTTCCCTGGATAGATGGAGCTGCAGGACAAGGTCACATTCTCTCCTGCCTGAACCGTGGGGCCCGGCTGGGCTGAGAGAGAAGGTTTCTCATATAGACCTGGAAGGAGAAGGGGCAGTTTCCTCAGGGGGGATCTTCCTTGTCACAGCTCCCCTCACACCTGACCTGAGAACTCACTCCCCTGCTCTATGGCCTAATGCTCTCTTTCTCTGTCTCACCCTCCACCCTATCTCTCTTCATGTCTATTTCCTCCTTCCACCTTCTCTGTCTCTGTAGGTCTCTGACCTCACTTCCCTACCTCTAGTTATGTTTTCCGTTTTTGGATTGTTTTATTCTCTCTGGCTCTCCTTGGATTGGTTGACTTGATGTTACTTTTTTTAACTCTGAGTTTCTCAGTTTGTGTCCCGTTCATAACTTTCTGCATATTTCTATCTATTATCTATCAATCCATCTATTTATCTATTCGGTGCCTATCTACAAATTCTCTACCTGTCATCTATATCTATATATCATCTATTTATCTATCAATTGTCTATCCGTCAATCATCTATTATCTATATATATGTATCATCTCTCTCTCTCTATTATTTCTCTCTTTGTCTTCCTCTCTATCTCTATGTATTATCTATCCATCTATCTTCATCATCATCATCTCTATGTATCATCTATTAATGAATCAATCAATCATCATCTATGTATCTATAACCTATTATCTATCATCTACCTATATATCATCTATCTATATCTATCCATCATCTATCTGTATCTATCCATCTATCATCTGTCTTGCTCTGCCTCTCGGTCTCTCTAGTTCTCTTTGGAATCTCTGCAATTCATCCCCACATCTCCATCTTTCTATGCCCTTGTGCCTCGCCCTCAGGACTCTAATTTTAGTGGTTTTCTCTGCTCTCTTCCATCATTCTCTCCACTTCTCTGCCCTCTTCTCTCTCTTTATGTGTCTGTGAGTCTCTCAATCTCCTTCCTCTGGCTCTTTCTCTGTGTGTTTATGTCTTTGCTTTTTGGTGTCCCTGATTTCTCTCTGTGCTTCTCAGTGATCCTCTCATATGTGATATGTGGGGTTATTTGGAATGTGAGCCTCAGAATCCAGTCTGGAGACCACAAGTTCACACAGCATACAGGGGTTGGTGTTCTGGGGCCATGATATTTTGGGACGATTATTCTCCATTGCATGGAAGTCAGAGGTGTCAGAATAAGCATGGCATCTGTAGGTGCCACAAGGCCTGAGGCCACAGGGCCCAACTCAGGTCAGAAATATGGGTGTCCTTGGGTTCTCCTGGTAGAGAACACTTTGTGGAGGTAAAACAGAAATGAAACTTCTAACCTGTGCCAGGTCTCTGAGCAAAGTCAGCATGGAAGGACACCTCTGTCTGGGACATGTCTGTCTGTCTCCTTTAACTCTTTCTGTCTTTTCTAACTCCCTGTATGGCCCCTGTGTTTGTCCTCTGTTATGACACCTGGTCTGTACTTGTGTCTCTTGTTTCTCTGTCTCTGTTGGCACAGACCTCACCAAGTCAGTCTCTCTCCATAAGAATACCAAGCTCATCTTCCTTACAACCACCTGGGTCTCCAAGTCCTGGATCATTCACTCTGCATCCCAATGACAATGAGAAGAATGTCTGGACACTCTCACCTATGATCACCATGTCCAGAGGGTCACTGGGAGCTGACAACTGATAGGGGGAGTGAGGAACAGAACCGTAGCATCTGTAGGTTCCTGCAAGGACAGGCATCATGGGACCAATGGAGAAGTTGGCCTTGGAAACCCCATCATGGTGCTCTCCAATGAGGTGCAAAGTGTTGTTAAACTTCCCCTCTCTGTGCAGAAGGAAGTGCTCAAACATGACATCCGACCAACATTGCAGGATGACTGTCTCTTCTGATTTCACCAGGTGACCTGGGAGGGCCAGGAAGGAAGGTTTTCTGTGGACTCCTAGGAAGAGAGGTTGTGAGTTTAGAAGGTGTCTCTCTTTATCATCCCATCCATGGCACCTGGAATGAGTGAGCCTTCCCTTCGCTGGTGTCTGTCTCTCTGCTTCCTCTCTGTGTCTTCATGTTCTTTTCTGTGCCCATAACTCCTGGTGCAGGTCCTTCCATCTGTCTCCCTCCCTCTTCTCTGTCCCTCTGTCTCTAGTAGCTGTGATTCCCTTCCCACTGGGCTCAGCCTCATCTCTTGGGCTGTTGTATCTATTTCACACTAATGTCTTTCTTACTGTCTATGTGGGAGTGGAAGAGGAAGCAGGATAGGCTGCACGTCCCGGCTCTTAGCAGCTTGGTTCAATCTCTTTTGGACGAATTGGAATCCTTGGCAGGAGGTATGAACTGATCAGTAAGGCAGGCACCAGTGTCCACACACCCTGTTCCTGGTGGGGACTGGGAGCCACTCTTGCCATGTCTGTGCCTTCTCCATGGTGCCAGTTTCCATAGGCTGGCTCCTCGTGCTGATTTGAGGAGTATCAACCCCTCCCTATGTGGATGGAGCCTGGTGGTGGCATCATCATCCCACCCTTGCTGATCTCGGTGTAGCCAACCTTCTCTTTGTTTGGTTTCTTTAATTAATTAATTAATTTTGGAGACAGAGTCTCACTCCTTCACCCAGGCTGGAGTGAAGTGGTGTGGTCTACGCTCACTGCAACCTCTGTCTCCTGGGTTCAAGCGATTCTCCTGCTCTCAGCCTCCCGAGTCGCTAGGATTACATGCACCTGCCACCATGCCTGGCTATCCTTGTGTCTTTTCTTAACTTGTCCTTGACCTGGGTTCCAGTGTTGGTTTCCTGTTGCTGCTGTAGAAAATTATCAGAAGCATGGCAGCAGGAGAGAGCACACTGACCCCCTCCGATTCTGGAGACAGAAAGCGGACCCTGTTTTTCGAGGGCTAAAATCAAGGCATCTGCAGGGCTGTGTTCCCTCTGGAGACTCAGGAGAATCAGTTACTTGACTTTCCCAGCCTCTATAGGCCACCTGCATTCATGGCTTATGGCCTTCATCCACCTTCAAAGCTGATGGAGTCTCCCACTACGCTGCTCTAATCCCCACTCTCCTCTTCCTCCTCCTTTCATGTGGACACTTGTGATTATACTGAGCCCACCGGGACAGTCCAGGCTGTCTCCCCATCTCAAGGTCAACTCATCAACAACCTGAGCTCCATCTTCCCCTTCAGTCCCTTCCCCTATAACATAAATAGTCACAGACTCCAGGGATTAGAATGCAGTCATCACTGGGGACACTTATTCTTCCCACCACAGCACCCATTTCCCTGTATTCAATCCCCCTTTACCCCAAATACAGTTAGGGCCTGCGTGATGGGACCCTCAAGGACATGCCTACCAGAAGCTCTGGGATTCAGGAGGTGGGACAAGGAGAATCCCAGACAGGAGCCCTCTGACCTGTGACCACGATCACCAGGGGGTTGCTGGGTGCCGACCACCCACTGGGGGAGTGTGTGTGTGAACCCCGGCATGTATAGGTCCCTGCATGTGACGTGGTCACAGGGCCCATGAAAAGGCTTTTCCAGAATATTCTGTTGTACAGCTCAGGGACAGGCACCCCATCATCCTTGTACAGACTGAAGTTGTTAAACCCAAGATTAGAGTGACACTGAAGAGTCACATGTTCTGGAGGCACCACAAGGCTGGGCCAGGTAGAAAGCAAGGGCTTGTCCTGACCACCTTGGGGTGAAGGAGGCGCCGCCTTAGAGAGGAGGATGTGGAGCTGTGCCTCCCTCCCTGTGCTCAGAAGATTCTCCCCACTTTCCACATTTCTATGGCTGCTATCACACCTTGGTGCCTAGGGCTAAAGGAAGGACCCATCCCACAAAGACAAGGTGTCTCCGTACAACAAAAGTGTCAGCTGAGAACTTTGAGCAAGTGCTGAGTAAGAGACTCCTACTAGATTTTAATACTGTAAGATTACTGACATAAAACAACACAGGGTAGACATGAAGTGGAGGGCATGTCCTTTGAGAATGGAATATCAGCAGTTGCCTGAATGAAAATAAAAAACTTAGCCCCCATCAGAGGATTTGGAATGTCAGGGCCATGGCTGTGGTTTCCCACCTCTTCTGGTAGAATGACAGCAGCCACACTGCAGCCCCTACCGTCATGGAAACGCTGAAGTGTGTGAGTAACACCTTTGTCCTCAGAGGATCTGCTGTTCCTACCACTTCCCCACCACACAACCCAGCTTTGAACACCCTAGTCCAACCCTGGTCCCCACACAACTTGACTCTGCCAAGGGGTTGAGAGGCCAGGGAGGCAAGGTCGGAACTGTGGGCCGAGCACCCCAGGGTCCCCTCTTCCTAGTTTATGAGAGACTCCCTGACAGGACTTCCCTCCCGTTTCAGGAAAATCCTCTTATGTGGGGAGATGACACCCTAAGGTTTGGAGAAGGACTTACCCTCCTGTGGCCAGGCCCCCTGCAGCAAGAAGAACCCTGGAAAGAAAGATCATGATGGAAGATCCATTTGCAGGCAAACAAGGCCTTCCTTGCTGCCCCCACTGGGCTGTGAGTCTTGATAGCCAGCCCCTTCCTGGGCCGAAGGGAAACTCACCATCAGAGCCTACCTGCACCCAAGAACAGTGCTCTCGGCTGTGCAGAGACCCAGCCTCCAGGCCCATATCCCCACCCCAAGCCCATATCTCCACTCCAGGCCCATATCTCCACTCCAGGCCGATATTTCCACCCTAGACCCATATAGCCAATCCGGGCCCACATCTCCAATCCAGGCTCAGATCTCCACCCTCGGCCCATATCTCCAATCCAGGCCCATATCTCCACTCCAGGCCCATATCTCCACTCCAGTCCCATATCTCCTCTCCAGTCCCATATCTCCACTCCAGGCCCATATCTCCACCCCAGGCCCAGATCTCCACCTCCAGGCCCATAACTACACTCCAGGATCATATCTCCACTCCAAGCCCATATCTCCACATCAGGCCCATATCTCCACTCCAGTCCCATATCTCCACACCCAGGCCCATATCTCCATTCCAGGCCCATATCCCCATCCTAGGCCCATATCTCCACCGTAGGCCCAGATCTCCACTCCAGGCCCATATCTCCACTCCAGGGCCATATCTCCACTCCAGGCCCATATCTACACACCAGGCCCATATCTCCACCCCATGCCCATGTCTCCACTCCAGATCCATATCTCCACCCCACGCCCATATCTCCACTCCAGGCCCATATCTCCAACCCACGCCCATATCTCCACCTCCAGGCACATATCTCCACCCCACGCCCGTATCTCCACTCCAGTCCCATATCTCCACTCCCGGCCCATGTCTCCACCCCATGCCTATATCTCCACTCCAGTCCCATATCTCCACTCCAGGCCCATATCTCCACTCCAGACCCATATCTCCACTCGGCCCATGTCTACACTCCAGGCCCATATCACCACCTCCAGGCCCATATCTCCACTCCAGGCCCATATCTCCACCTCCAGGCCCGTATCTCCACTCCAGACCCATATGTCCACTCCAGGCCCATATCTCCACTCCAGGCCCATATCTCCACTCCAGGGCCATATCTCCACTCCAGGCTCATATCTCCACTCCAGGCCCATATCTCCACTCCAGGGCCATATCTCCACTCCAGGCTCATATCTCCACTCCAGGCCCATATCTCCACTCCAGGGCCATATCTCCACTCCAGGCCCAGATCTCCACCTCCAGGCCCGTATCTCCACTCTAGTCCCATATCTCCACTCCAGGCCCATATCTCCACCTCCAGGCCCATAACTTCACTCCAGGCCCATAACTCCACTCCAGGCCCATATCTCCACCTCCAGGCCCATATCTCCACTCCAGGGCCATATCTCCACTCCAGGCTCATATCTCCACTCCAGGCCCATATCTCCACTCCAGGGCCATATCTCCACTCCAGGCCCAGATCTCCACCTCCAGGCCCCTATCTCCACTCTAGTCCCATATCTCCACTCCAGGCCCATATCTCCACCTCCAGGCCCATAACTTCACTCCAGGCCCATAACTCCACTCCAGGCCCATATCTCCACCTCCAGGCCCATATCTCCACTGCAGACCCATATCTCCACTCCAGGCCCATATCTCCACTCCAGGCCCAGATCTCCACTCCAGGCCCAGATCTCCACTCCAGGCCCAGATCTCCACCTCCAGGCCCCTATCTCCACTCTAGTCCCATATCTCCACTCCAGGCCCATATCTCCACCTCCAGGCCCATAACTTCACTCCAGGCCCATAACTCCACTGCAGACCCATATCTCCACTCCAGGCCCATATCTCCACTCCAGGACCATATCTCCACTCCAGGCTCATATCTCCACTCCAGGCCCGTATCTCCACCTCCAGGCCCATAACTTCACTCCAGGCCCATAACTCCACTCCAGGCCCATATCTCCACTCCAGTCCCATATCTCCACTCCAGTCCCATATCTCCACCCTAGGCTCCTACCTCCCCTCCAGGTTCCTATCTCTCCTCCAGGTTCCTCTCTCCACTCCAGGTTCCTATCCCCACTCCAGGCCCATATCTCCACTCCAGGCCCAGATCTTCACTCCAGGCCCAGATCTCCACTCCAGGCGCAGATCTCCACTTCTAGGCTCATCACTCCATCTCTAGGCCCAGATCTCCACTCCAGGCCCATAACTCCACCTCCAGGCCCATATCTCCACCTCTGGGCCCAGATCTCCATCCCCACGCTCCCTCCCTCTATTCCCTTCCAGGACTCACCAACACACGCCATGATGATGACCATGAGCGACATGGTGCTGCCGGTGCAGACAGGCGGCCGCGCCCCAGCTCAGCTCAGCAGCGCACAGGATGTTATTTGGCGCCCTGCCCATGCAGTTTACATGTTGACCACATCATGGGAGGGTGACGTACGCAGGCTTTTTCTACCTTGCATGAGGCCCAGTGGGTGCTCGCTCAAGAGCAGAACATGGCTTCCTGGAAATTGCTCTCACTAGAATTGACACCTCGCGTCCTTCACTATGACCAACTCAAAACATGTCTTAGATCCAACCTCCCAAACATGAGATGCCTAAAATCTGTGCTAACATGAAAGACTTTTCATGAATTTTTATTGTTTTTATCTGAGATTCGAACTCTTCTTCCTGTGTAATATGCAAAATATCTAATAGGTATTATTAGTGTTTTCAGAGTCATTGTGACTAATAAACCATTAGAATTGTTCATGCTTGTATTTCTAGTATTACAGCAGAACCAGTTCAAATGATTTAAATTCCCAGGGAAGGATTATGCAATTATTTACAATCTTAGAATTGTACTTTATCAGCAAAAACCACACATGTAAATTCTGGATTTTTGTAGTTTTATCTATAATTTGTCTCATGACTCAAGATTCCAGAGTCCCAACTCTGGAGTTTGCTCTCTCTCTGTCTCTCTGCCTCCCTCATTTTAAATTTTACAGAAATATCCAGTAACATAATGCTATAGAAAATCAAGTTTCCCCCAGCAGGTCGGGAAGCCGAGGTGGGCGGATCAACTGAGATGAGGAGATTGAGAGCAGCCTGGCCAACACAGTGAAACCGCGTCTCTGCTAAAAATTCAAAAATTAGCCATGCCTGGTGGCAGGCACCTGAAACGCCAGCTACTCAAGAGACTGAGGCACGAGAATCGCCTGAACCTGGGAGGCGGAAGTTGCAGTGAGCTGAGATTGCTCCACTACAGTCCCGCCTGGGCGACAGAGCAAGACTCCGCCTCAAGAAAAAAAAATAGCAAGTAGCCTATAATAACAAATTAGAGGGCTCTGGCTACTAAATTTAAAGGGTTTTATAAGGCTACATGAAGTGCAGCATCCTCAAGAGTGTGGACACAGAGAGCCCCTTAGCAGAAACAGTGTCTAAAATACATCCGTGTACACACAGTCCCTTTAGAGTTGACAAAGGCTGCCGTGTGGTTTAAGGTGGCATAGAATGTCTTCTTAATAAATAATATTAAACCAAAGGGTTACACGTAGGAAAAAATAAATCTAAACTTATTCTCACACTATAAAAACACTTCTTACTTTTTATCTAGTTATTGTACATTTTTTATGATTTATATTTAAAATTGAGAAATAAAAGTCATATACGGTCATCCTTTACTATTCGTGGGTGATTGGTTTCAGGATCTCCACTCAGGTACCAAAATCTGCAGATGCTCAAGCCTCTTACATAAAATGACACAGCATTTGGATATAACCCATGCACATCCTCCTGTATACATGAAATCATCTCTTGATTACTTATAATTCCTGATACAGCCTACACACTGCCTCATTTGTGTCCATTCAACATAGTTTTGCATTTTGAAACTTTGTGGACATTTTCTCTGAATATTTTTGATTTACACTTGGTTCAATAAACACCTGTAAACCCCACAGATATGGAGGAGCGACTGTATATTTATAGTATGAAATATGATGTGTTGATATGTGTCCCCGTGGAGATGAGACTAGCAAGGCTTATGACTCTACAAATGTTTCATCGTGGAATGACTCTGCCAGCTTTCCAGGTTGCAGAGAGTAAGAATATCACTTGTTCATGTGATTCACGATCCTTGGAACCTCCTATGTGCTGCATCTTTGGATGGAAATTGGAGTCCCAGAGACAAATGAGGCTCCACCCTGCTTCCAGAAGCTCAGAGTCCAGGGGTGAGAACCCAGCGGAGAACAGATGGGGTTATGTGGACATGGTAATGATAACAGCGGTTTCTTTCAGCGAATACAGTGTCACATTACCTGAAGCAATGAGGGCAGACATGTTTATTTGAAGAGGAGACAGCTACATTGAAATCACAAAAAATTTTATAAGTTTCACTGCTGACAGAAGGCTGGAAAATAGTCCGAAGAAAGGTGAAACAGCATGAGGGAAGGTGGAACAGCACGTGGGTAAGTGCCACGTCAAGAGGGAGCCTCTTGTATGTTTGGAATTGTGAGTTCCTCAGTGTGATTGCAGCCTCAAGTAGACTAGGAAGTAAGCCAGTTAGGTTGGAGAGGTGGGCAGGGGTCAAGTGAAATGGAGAACTGTGGGCTAAGCAAAGGAGTGTGTTTTCTTTCCAGCAGGCAGTGGGGACCTAGACATTTGTAAGCAAGAGAGAGGCACCAGATTTGTGGCGTGAGGAGGAGCGATGCCCTAAGATGAAGACTCACGCCTTCAGATTCCAGCTGCTGGTACATGGGAGCTGGCAACTCGGTTTTGAGACAGGGCTGTTGTCTCCCTAGAAGACGTCCTCAAGGCCTGACTGTGGTGCTCATGGGCAGGAGACAACTTTGGATCTGGGCTTAGCATTTGGAAGTTCCGTGTACAAGATGGTATCTGTAGGGGGTGTCTTGGGCCTCTGAGAAGGGCGAGTGATTTTTCTCTGTGTGAAAACGCAGTGATCCAACTGTGCGTATGTCACCTCCTCAGGGTCTTGTTCATCAGAGTCCTGGAGAGAGGGAAATGCTGAGTGAGGGAGGGAAATGCTGAGTGAGGGAGGGTGCTCACGTTTTCCAGGACTGTTTGGGAATAACACTAGCCACGAGGCTGGGCCGAGGAGCACCTACCTCGCTGTTGGCTGTTCTGTTCCCTGCAGGCTCTTGGTCCATTACAGCAGCATCTGTAGGAGACGGAAGTCAACAAAAGAGCTCGGAGGGCACTTCTGGGTCCTCATTTCATAAGCAGATACCAACAAACAGGGGGAGGCCATAGGTGCCTGAGGTCCCTCAGTTGCCAACAGCAGACTCAGACATTCTATCTCTCTGAGCTCAAGGACCCATCCCATGAATAGCTCTGAGTTCCCATCCCATTGATTCTGTCTCCCACTTTCTGCCTGTCATGGAACCTTCTCCTGGATGTGAGTGGCTGCAGGGGACATGAGGATACAGTTCAGAATCAGGCAACGGTCTGTGAGCTGAAGGCAGGGGCAGGGAGTCTGGTGCTCTCTCTAGAAAGTCCTGCCTCTGTGGCTCCTGTCTTGGGCCAGGGACCATCCTGCCAGTGAGGAACACACAGCTGTGTGCTCCCATCCTGCTTCCCCACATGGCCCTGAGCTCTCTGGCCTGTGCCCCGTGAGACTTACTTTTTTTGTTGGAGCACCAGAGATGAAGGAGAAAGAAGAGGAGGAGGATGAAGAGGATGATGACCACTGAGGTCCCAATCAGAATGTGCAGGTGTCTGGGGTTACCTGGAAGAAGAGGAGACACCAGTAAGAAGCTAATCATAGCAGTTTCTCTATATGAATTGTCTTGCATTTCTTGATTGACAGGTAACCACTTACAGCATCTCTTTCGGACAAGCACCCAGATGGCGGGAGATCTAGCTTCCTCCTGCTTTCTCAGTTATAGCTCTCATAGTAACCATGGAACGTGCTGAGGATACAACTACTTTAGTTGAGATGTTTGACCCCTTCAAACCTCACATTGAAATTTAACCCCCAGTGTGGGAGGTTGGGCCTCTTGGGAGGTGTTTGGGTCATGGAGGTGGATCCATCATGAACAGATCAATGCTGTCCCAAGGAGACGGGGTTAGCAAGTTCCCTCTCTATTAGTTCCTGGAGAGCTGGTTGTTAAAAAGAGCTTGGAAGCTCCATTGCTCCCCCTCCCCCTTGCTCCCTCTCTTGCCGTGTGATCTCTGTGGTCTCTGCACAGACAGACCCTCCTTCCCTTCTGCCAGAGTGGGAGCGGCCTGAGGCCATCATAAGAAATAGATGCTGGTGCCATGCTTCCAGTACAGCCTGCAGAACGGTGAGGCAAACCAATCTCTTCTTTAGAAGTTACCCAGGCTCAAGTGTTCCTTTAGAGCAACAAAAATGGACTAAGACAGCAAAGTCCTGAGATCAGGAGGATTGTCCCAGAACAGCCTGGGCTGTCTTCCTGTTCTTCCTGGAGGAGGACGTCATGCAGTGCTTTAGCTGAGTGCTTCCTGTGGCTCCAGGGTACAAAACCCAGGCTGGGCTGCTTTCTGGCTTCCCCCAGCTACACTGCAAATGGGGTGACTCCACATGTCTCGAGCAGCTTTTCTGAGCCTTGGGGAACTGGCTCACATTGAAATGTAGGCTTCTGTTGTCACTCGCTGCTTATCTGTTAGTAATGAACCTGCCTATGTAACGTATTCTCTGTGTGTTCTGTCTCCCTGGAGTGACGGTGAGTGATAGGAATTGGCATAGGCCCAGGTGCAGTCCAGGAGGTGTTTAGAGTCTTCTCTGGGAAGACTGGACTGGGATTGATACACAGCGAATGTGCTTTAGGATTTCTACATCCACGGCATTCTTGAGTTAAACAACTTGCATTCTCCAAGAAAAGGAAACAAAAGTGAAATCAATATAAAAAAAGCGAAGTAGAATTCTCTTATGTCAAACAGCCAGAAAATAGTGTTGAAGCCCGTGTGAAATGTGCTACTCTTTGTGATCTCGGGAGACACATGTTAGGCTGCTGTTCTACCTCAGAGGCTGGGGGAAGGACCACCCCCTCGACTATCTATTGCTTCAATACCACCTGTCCTCCTGTGAATTAGTAGGAAAGGGGAGCAGGAGCTAGTGCTGGCACTGATCTCTGATTCCAAGATCTGGACTCACTCCAAGGAGTATTAGCATTTACCTCCCCATGATCTATCTGTATTTCCACAGGTGATTGGAAGTAGGGGTGAGATGGGGGATTTGGGTGAGGGGGCAAGTTTTTTTTGTGATGACCAGAGCACTTTCTCTATTCCAGGATTTGTGCTGGAGGATTCAGCGGGCTTTCACATTTTCTATATGATCTCATGCTCACAGAAAGCCAAATACGGAAGAGGTTTTAGGCTGATTGCCTAATGGATAAGATAAAGGATCAAAGAAGTAATTATAGAGAAATAGAAAAATGATGATGGGAATTCAGGTGCCTTTGTCATTCGTGTGTGTTTTATTATATTTATGCATTTCTTATTTTTATTTTTTGAGATGGAGTCTCCTTGTGTCACCCAGGCTGGAGTGCAGTGATGCGATCTCCACTCACTGCAACCTCCACCTCCTGGGTTGAAGTCATTCTCCTGCTTCATCCTCCAGAGCAGGAGCTGGGATTACAGGGATGCACCACCATGCTCGGCTAATTTTTGTATTTTTAGGAGAGATAGGGTTTCACCATGTAGAGATAGGGTTTCTCCATGTTGGCCAGGCTGGTCTCGAACTCCTGACTTCTTGGAATCCACTGGCCTTAGCCTCCTGCAGTGCTGGGTTACAGGAGTGAGCCACCGTTCACAGACTTGTATACTATGCTATAATAGGTCCCTTCATTTCCACCACCCCTCATATATCTGTCACTCCTTTGCCAGGTATTGATTTATGTGTAGGAGGAATAAATCTCAGAAAGAAATTAATTTAGCAAGGATTAAACAACTAGGAAACTCAAACCCAGCAAGCCCTCCCTGCAAATGATTCTACCTCCCAAACATAGCTTATATCCATCTGCTTCATCCACTTAGGGTCTAAATCAGCACCACATTTCACCAGTGGGGCGGCAATTGCCTTTTCCACTGTCTCCTAGATTCCAGTTACGCACCTGGGCCTCCCTTATTTTCATGTCAGTCACTATTAATCATGTAGGGATTCCTGGCTACCCCGAGGTGAATCCAATGGCTGTGAGTGTCAAACACACACTCCTTGTTGCTCCTTAGTTTCCTGTGTACCCAGTGTGCTCTCCGTCTCTCCACAGTCGTCTTGTCATTCTCCCCACCTCATTCCCAGCATTTCAGGCAGAGCCTCTTCCTTCCACATCAGATTGTTTTCAGCTTTCTGCCTTCACGGCTGACAGCTGTGTGTGGAAAATCCTTCCGCCAATCTTTCAGGGGTTCAATCCGTGTTTTTCATTAATGTCACAAATATCTGATTAGTGAGACCTTCTCTGTCACCCAAAATTATACACTCAGCATTATCTATTATTTATTTTGAATTCTGGCTGGGCAAAGTGGCTCACGCCTGTAATCCCAGTACTTTGGGTTGCTGAGATGGTCGGATCACTTGAGGTTGGGAGTTTCAGACAAGCTTGGCCAACATGGTGAAACATCCTCTCTACAAAAAATATACAAAAAGAATTAGCCGGGCATGGTGGCAGTTGCCTGTAATCCCAGCTACTCGAGAGGGTGAGGCAGGAGAATCACTTGGATCCAGGAGACGCAGGTTGCAGTGAGCCAAGATCGTGACACTGCACTGTAGCCTGGAAGACAGAGGGAGACTCTGTCTCAATAAATAAATGAACGAACAAACAAATAGATTTCATGCACAGATGCTTCCCAATGGATCATTCATTTATTGGTCCACTTGTGCACTCATTTTCTGTCCTCCCATTTAACCATCTGCAATATCAGTGTCCCAAGAGCAGAGGCCAAATGCATCTTGTTCACCGTTCGTGGAAGGCAGGAGAATGCTGTCCCACCCCAAAATGTCCCTGTCCTGGCCTCCATAGCTTGTGAATATCTTATTTTACATGGAAAGAAGGAATGAAGATTGCAGATGGAATTACGGTTGCTAGTCAGCTGAACTTAAAACAAGGGTATCCTGAATGATTTCCGGGAGATTATGATGGATTTTCATCTTGGTGAACCCAATAGAATCCCCAAGTTTTCAAAAGATAAGGAAGAAGGGAGAGCAGCATTCAGAGAAAGAGGTGTGGTAAGGAAGAAGGGTCTGAGTGATGCCATGTGAGATGTGACCAGTCTTTGTGGGCTTTGAGGAAGGAGGAAGGGGACCAGGAGCCAAGGAACTGGGAGCCTTTAGAAGCTGGGACAAGTGAGAAGCAGATTCTTGCCTGGAATCCTCAGAGGGAAGGCAGCCTTGCTGTCACCTTGATTTTAGCCCAGTAAGATGCACTTCCTACTTTGAGCTACAGCACTGTAAGATAATTAAAAAACCGTTTTGTTTTCACCCACGAATCTTGTGGAAATTTGTTATGGCAACAATAGGAAAGGATTCCAACTGCACAGCCTGAGCATGGGGCCGTGGCTGAATGAGTCAGTGAGTCGAAGTGTGCGTGCATGAGCTCTGTTCTCTGTTACGGCAAGGCTCTTGCTCTGCTGAGTCAGCCAGGGTTGCTTCATGACCAACAGTAATTCATTCCTTGGCAAGTGGAACTTCTCTAAAACACCTCGCCCTCATCAGATGTTCCCTTCCCTTCCCTCTCTCAAGTCCCCAGGAATTTATCCTCCAGTTAGGAATGCAGGAAGAAAAAACACTGCATGTTTCCTGAGAAGGATGTCAGATTGGCAATCATTCTTCTAGCTTGTAGGAGGTCTCACCTGCAGGACATTAAAGGTTAAGAGACTTCGCTGAGCCCTTTGGTGGCCCTAGATCCCTTTCACTGTTGGAGTGTCTGGAGTTCAGAGATGGTGGAAGACAGGCCCTCATTCACAGAGCTGGGAGGTTTGAGCCAACACTTGCATCCAAGGCTTCCACCTCCCCAGGTTTCCAAAAGCAGAGATAAGAGGGGTCCTTTACTCACCAGATTTGGAGCTTGGTTCTGTGGGTGAAGGCCAACTACTTGAAGGGTTTCCTAGAACATGGGACAGGAGAGATGTGAGGAAATGAGGGTGCTTGTCCTCTACTCAATGGAAATCTTTGAGGTTGGTTCATGGCCAACACTCTGTTATCTAATGTTGGACCCTGGGAGTCTTGGGATCCTCTTCTCCATAATTTTTGTGTGCGATGCCCACTGTCTTGAGACTTGAAGGTATAAAGAGAAAACAGGAGCATCACACTACCTGACTTAGAAATATGTTACAGAGCTGTAGTAAGCAAAACAGCATGACATTGGCATAAAGAAAGGCACATAAAAAATGAAACAGAATGGAGAACACAGATATAATCCATGCATTTACATCCAATGGCTTTTTTTGTGTGTGTGTGTGATAGAATCTTGCTCTGTCATGCAGGCTGGAGTGCAGAGGTGCAATCTCAGCTCAATGCAACCTCCACTTCCTGGATTCAAGCAATTCTCTTGCCTCAAACACCCGAGTAGTGGTATTACAGGCACTGGTCACCATGCTCAGCTAATTTTTGTATTTTTAGTAGAGACGAGGTTTCACTCTGTTGGCCAGCCTGGTCTTGAACTCCTGGCTTCAGGTGATCCACCCGCCTCGGCCTCCCAAAGTGCTGGAATTGCAGGTGTGAGCCACCATACCCAGCCCATTTAATGGACTTTGACAAAGGTGCCGAGAACTTACAATCAGGAAAGGACAGTCTTTTCAATAAATGGTGTGGGGAAAACTGGATATCTACATGCAGAGGAATAAAACTGCATCTATACCTGTCACCATACACAAAAATCAAATGAAAATGGATTAAAAACATGAGTCTAAGGCCTGAACCTATGAAACATGTAGAAGAAAATAATGGGGAAGACATTTGTCTGACGAAAGACATTTTGTTTAAAACCTTCAAAACACAAGTAATCAAAGCAAAAAATAGACCATTAGGATTACATCAAACCAAGCAACTTCTGCACCACAAAAGATAAACCAAGAAAGTGAAGAGACAACCGACAAAATAGGAGCAAATATTTGCAAACTATTCATCTGAGACGGGATTAATAACTGGAAATATAAGAAGCTCAAACAACTCAATAAAACAATTTAATTAAAAAACGAGCAAAAGACATGAGGAGACATTTCTCCACAAACAAAACATAGAAATGGCGATCACGTATATGAAAAAGTACTCGGCATCACTCATCATCAGAGAAATGTAAATTACAATCGCGATGAGTTTTCATCTCATCCCATTAAAATGCCTTTTAGGCCGGTGGCTCACGCCTGTAATTCCGGCACTTCAGGAGGCGGAGGTGGGCGGATCACCTGAGGTCGGGAGACCAGCCTGACCATCATGGAGAAACTCCCTCTCTACTAAACATACAAAAATTAGCTAGGCGTGGTGGCACATGCCTGTAATCCCAGCTACTTTGGAGGCTGAGGCAGGAGAATCAGTTGAACGCGGGAGGCGGAGGTTGCAGTGAGCTGAGATCACACCCTTGCACTCCAGCCTGGGAGACTATGAGTGAAACTCCATCTCAACATA
Organism: Homo sapiens; assembly: GCF_000001405.40. Classification (NCBI taxonomy): domain Eukaryota; kingdom Metazoa; phylum Chordata; class Mammalia; order Primates; family Hominidae; genus Homo; species Homo sapiens. The sequence goes on from NT_187673.1 coordinate 45,571, forward strand.
AATAAATAAATAAAATAAAGTAAAGTAAAATGGCTTTTACTGCAAGACAGGCAAAACAAATGCTGGCAAGATGGTAGAGAAAGGAGAACCCTGGTACCCTGTTGGTAGGAATGTAAATTAGTACAACTATTATGGAGAAAAGTATGGAAATTCTTTAAAAAACTAAAAGGAGGCTGGGCATAGTGGCTTATGCCTGTAACTTCAGCACTTTGGGAAACCGAGGCAGGCACCTCACTTGAGGTCAGGAGTTTGAGAGCAGCCTGCCCAAAATTGGGATATCCCGTCTGTGCTAAAAAAATACAAAAATTAGCCAGGCATGGTGGCGTGCACCTGTAATCACAGCTACTAGGGAGGCTGAGTCAGGACAATCATTTGAACCTAGGAGGCACAGGTTGCAATGAGCCAAGATCTCACCACTTAGACTCCAGCTTGGACTAAGGAGGGAAACTCTTTCTCAAAAAAGAAAAAAAAAAAAAGAGAACTTTCATAGTGTCCAGCAATTTCACTACTGGGTTTATATCCAAAGGAAAGGACATCAGTGTATCGAAGTGATATCTGCACTCATATGACTGTTCCAGCACTGTTCACAGTAGCCAAGATGTGGAGTCAACCTACCTGCCCATCAGTGGGTGAATGGATAGAGAACTGTGGTACACACACACAGTGGAGACTACTCATCCATAGAAACAATAACATCCTGTCATTTGCAGCCACATGGATGGAACTGGAGGTCATTACAAAGATTCCCATTTCTCACCCACATGCAGGAGATAAAAGGTGGATCTCATGAAGGTGGAGAATACAATGGTGGACACCAGAGGCCAGGAAGGGAAGGGTGGAGGGTAACAAAAAAAAGAATATAGATGTATTTATTTATTTAGAAACAGAGTCTCTCTCTGTCTCCCAGGCTGCAGTGCAGTGGCATGATCTCGGCTCAGTGCAACCTCTGCCTCCTGGGTTTAAGTGCTTCTCCTGCCTCAGCCTCCCAAGTAGCTAGGACTACAGGTGCATGCCAGCATGCTCGGCTAATTTTTCTTGTCTGTTTAGTAAAGATGAATTTCCCACATGTTGGCCAGGGTGATCTCGAGTTCCTGATCTTAAATGATCCACCTTCCTTGGCCTCTCAAAGCGCCGAGATTACAACCGTGAACCACCACACCCAGCATATAAAGGTATTTATGACCACTAGATTTTACTTTTAAAAATGGTAAAGGTGGTAAATTATATAGTTACATTTAACCTCAATAAATATTTTTGAAAATGAAAAGAAAAGGGTGTAGGGGTTGCTGGTGATGATATCTCTCTGTGTGGGTGAGAGGCCATGATGGGCTTCTGGGAAATGGATAAGATTGAGGGGCTGAGGGAACCTCTGATCTCCCCAAACTAAGCCCAGTCTCCCCTTCTCTGGGTCTGTCCTGACCGCTTTCTCCATCTGCCTGGGTGCCTGGAGCCCTGATCGGAGGCCTCCATGCAGGCCATGAAGGAGGGTTTGGAGGTGCCCTGTCTGCCATCCTGCGCCCTGACTCCGCCCTCACACCTGCTGTGTCTTCTCTCTGCATCTGTCCATGCTTTTCTCCATCATCAGCAGGAAGCTCCTTAGCTAAGGATTTAGGATCATAGGACATGAGAGAGATATGGGCTTTTCTCACCTGTGACAGAAACAAGCAGTGGGTCACTCGGGTCTGACCACTCGTAGGGAGAGTGACGGAAAGAGCCGAAGCATCTGTAGGTCCCTCCGTGGGTGGCAGGGCCCAGAGGGAAATCTGCCTGGAATGTTCTGTTGACCTTGCGCACTGCAGGGAGCCTACGTTCATGGGCTCCCCCCTCCCTGGATAGATGGTACATGTCATAGGAGCTCCGGGAGCTACAGGACAAGGTCACGCTCTCTCCTGCCTGAACCTTGGGGCCCGGCTGGGCTGAGAGAGAAGGTTTCTCATATGGACCTGGAAGGAGAAGAGGCAGTTTCCTCAGGGAGGTTCTTCCTTGTCATAGCTCCCCTCATACCTGAGCTGAGAACTCACTCCCCTGCTCTATGACCTAATGCTCTCTCTCTCTCTCTCACCCTCCACCCCATCTCTCTTCATATCTGTTTCCTCCTTCTACCTTTTCTGTCTCTCTAGGTCTATGACCTCACTTCCCCACCCTGAGGTATGTTTTCCCTTTTTGGATTGTTTTATTCTCTCTGACCCTCCTTGGATTGGTTGACTTGATCTTCCTTTTTCTTTAATTTTGAGTCTCTCACTTTCTGTCTTGTTCATAACTTTCTGCACATTTCTATCTATTTATCTATTTTGTGTCTATCTACAAATTATCTATCATCTATATTTATGTATCACTTATCTATCTCTCTATCAATTGTCTGTCTGTCTATCTATCCATCAATCATCTATTATCTATATATGTATCATCTATCTCTCTCTCTATTACCTCTCTGTCTGCCTCTCTGTCTCTATTTATGTATCATCTATGTATATATCTATGTGTCTATCATCATCATCGTCATCTCTATGTATCATCTATCAGTCATCATCTATGTATCTATAACCAATCCATTATCTATCATCTACCTATTTATCATCTATCTACGTCTATCTATCCATCTATCATCTCTCTCTCTCCGTCTCCTTGTCTTTCTCTGCCTCTCAGTCTCTCTAGTTCTATTTGGAATCTCTGCAATCCATCCCCACATATTTATCTTTCTCTGTCTTTGTGTCCCTCCCTCAGGGTTCTGATTTTGGGGCTTTTCTCTCCTCCTTTCCATCATTCTCTCCATTCTGCCCTCTTTTCTTTCTTTTTATGTGTCTGTGAATCTCTTAATCTCCTTCTTCTGGCTCATTTTGTGTGTGTTTATGTCTTTGCTTTTTGGTGTCCCTGATTTTTCTCTGTGTCTCTCAGCGATCCTATCATATGTGGGATTATTTGGAATATGAGCCTCAGAATCCAGTCTGGGGACCCCAAGTTCACACAGCATACAGGGGTTGGTGTTCAGGGGCCATGATATCCTGGGATGATTACTCTCCATTGCATGGAAGGCAGAGGTGTCAGAATAAACACGGCATCTGTAGGTGGCACAAGGCCTGAGGCCACAGGGCCCAACTCAGGTCAGAAATATGGGTGTCCTTGGGTTCTTCTGGTAGGAACACTTTGTGGAGGTAAAACAGAAATGAAACTTCTAACCTGTGCCAGGTCTCTGAGCAAAGTCAGCATGGAAGGACACCTCTCTCTGGGACATGTCTGTCTGTCTGAGTGTCTCCTTTACCTCTTTCTCTCTTTTCTACCTCCCTGTATGGCCCCTGTGTCTGTCCTCTGTTATGACACCTGTTCTGTACTTATGTCTCCTGTTTCTCTGTCTCTGTTGGTACAGACCTCACCAAGTCACTCTCTTTCCATAAGAATCCCACACTTATCTTCCTCATGACCACCTGGGGGTTCCAAGTCCTGGATCATTCACTCTGTGTCCCAGTGACAATGAGAACAATGTCTAGACACTCTCACCTGTGACCACGATGTCCAGGGGATCACTGGGAGCTGACAACTGATAGGGGGTGTGAGTAACAGAACCGTAGCATCTGTAGGTCCCTGCAAGGGCAAGCATCATGGGACCGATGGAGAAATTGGCCTTGGAGACCCCATCATGGATCTGTCCAACGAGGCGTGAGGGGTCCTTAGAGATCCCCTCTTTGTGCAGAAAGAAGTGCTCAAACATGATATCTGACCAACATTGCAGGATGACTCTCTCTCCTGATTTCACCAGGGGACCTGGGTGGGCCAGGAGGGAAGGTTTTCTGTGGTTTCCTAGAAAGAGAAGTTGTGAGTTTAGAAGGCATCTCTCTTTATCATCCCATCCATGGCACCTGGAATGAGTGAGGGTTCCCCTCCCCGTGTCTGTCTCTCTCCTCCCTCTCTGCATCTCCGTGTCTTTTCTGTGCCCATATCCCCTGGTGCAGGTGCCTCCATCTGTCTTCCTCCCTCTTCTCTGTCCCTCTGTCTCCAGTAGCCCCTGACTCCCTTGCCACTGTGAAGACAGCCTCATCTCTTGGGCTGTTGTATCTGTTTCCCACTAATCTCTTTCCTGCTGTCTATGTGGGGGTGGAAGAGGACAGGCTGCATGTCCAGGCTCTTAGCAGCCTGAATCAATCTCTTTTGAACAAATCCCCAGTTCAAGTGATTCTCTTGCCTCAGCCTCCCCAGTCGTTGGATTACTCGTGCCCACCACCACATCTGGCTATCCTTGTTTGGTTTCCTAACTTGTCCTTGACCTGGGTTCCTGTGTTGGTTTCCTGTTGCTGCTGCAGAAAATTACCACAAACATGGCAGCGGGAGAGAACACACTGACCCCTTCCACTTCTGGAGACAGAAATTGGATCCAGTTCTCCCTGTGCTGAAATCAAGGTGTCTACAGGGCTGCGTTCCCTCTGGAGAATCAGCGAATCAGTTCTCTTGACTTCTCCAGCCCTTAGAGGCCACCTGCATTCTGTGACTAGTGGTCTTCCTCCACCTTCAAAGCCCGCAGTGGCTGATAGCGTCTCCCTCCCACTACACTGCTCTAATCCCCACTCCCCTCTTCCTCCACCTCTCATGTGGACCCTTGTGATTACACTGAGCCCAGTGGGACAGTCCAGGCTGTCTCCCCATCTCAAGGTCAACTCATCAACAACCTGAGCTCCACCTTCCCCTTCAGTCCCCTGCCCTGTAACATAAATAGTCACAGGCTCCAGGGATTACAATGTAGCCATCATTGGGGACAGTGATTCTTCCCACCACAGCACCCATTTCCCCTGTATTCAATCTCCCTTGACCCCAAATACAGTCAGGGCCTGGGTGATGGGACCCTGACGGACACCCCCACCAGAAGCTCTGGGATTCAGGAGGTGGGACAGTGAGAAGCCCAGACGGAAAGCCTCTGACCTGTGACCATGATCACCACGGGGTTGCTGGGTGCCGACCACCCAGTGGGGGAGTGTGGGTGTGAACCCCGACATGTGTAGTTCCCTGCATGTGCTGTGGTCACAGGGCTCATGTTGAAGCTCTCCTGGAATATTCTGCCATGGAAGATGGGAATGTGGATTCTGTCTTCTTTGTATAGCATGAAATTGTTAAACCTATGACGATAGTGACACCGAAGAGTCACGTGTCCTCCTCGAGGCACCACAGCGCTGGGCCAGGCAGACAGGAAGGGTTTGTCCTGACCACCTGGGGGAGAAGGAGGCACTGCCTTAGAGAGGAGGATGTGGAGCCGCCCCTCACTCCCAGTGCCCAGAAGATTCTCCCCATTTCCACTTTCTAAGGCTCCTACCACACCTGGGTGCCCAGGGCTACAGGAAGGACCCATCCTGCATAGACTTGGCGTCTCCCTACAACAAGTGTCAGCTGAGAACTTTGAGCAAGTTGCTGGAGAAGCAACTCTTACTAGATTTTAATACTGCAAAATTACTCATATAAAACAACACAAAGTAGACACGGCATGGAGGGCAAGTCCTATGTGAATGGAATATCAGCCAATTGATGAACTGAGCCCCCATCAGAGGATTTGGAATGTCAGGGCCATGGCTGTGGTTTCCTCACCTTTTCTGGTAGAAAGACCGCAGCCACACTGCAGCCCCTACCATCACGGAAACGCTGGAGGGTGTGAGTTACACCTTTGTCCTCAGAGGACCTGCTGTTCCTAGCACTGCTTCCCTCTCTTTCTCTGCTGCTGACACCACTTCCTCCCTGCACACCCATCTTGGAGCACCCTAGTCTCACCCCAGTCTTCACAGAGCTTGACTCAGGAAAGGGAATGAAAGGCCGGGGAAGGCAAGGTCAGAAATGTGGGCCGAGCATCCGAGGGTCCCCTCTTCCTAGTGTATGAGAGACTCCCCGACAGGACTTCCCTCCCATTTCAGGAAAATCCTCTTATGTGGGGAGATGACACCCTAAGGTTTGGGGAAGGACTCACCCATGTGTGGACCGGCCCTCTGGACCAAGAACAACCCTAGAAAGAAAGATCATGATGGACCATCCCTCTGCAGGCAAACCAGGGCACCCTGCTGCCCCCACTGGGCTGTGCGTCTTGGCAGCCAGGCCCTTGCTGGGCTGAAGGTAAACTCACCCTCGCTGCCTACCTGCCCCCAGGAACAAGGATCTCGGCTGTGCAGAGACTGAGCCTCCAGGCCCAGATCTCTACCTCCAGGCCTAGATCTACACAACAGGCCCAGATCTCCACTCCAGGTCCGTATCTCCACTCCAGGCCCATATCTCCTCTCCAGGCTGGTAAGTCCACTCCAGGCCCATATCTCCACTCCAGGCTCCTATCTCAACTCCAGGCTCATATATCCACTCCAGGCTCATATCTCCACTCCAGGCCCATATTTCCACTCCAGGCTTCTATCTCCTCTCCAGGCCCATATCTCCTTTCCAGGCTTGTATGTCTGCTCCAGGCCCGTATCTCCACCCCAGGCCCATATCTCCACTCCAGGATCATATCTCCACTCCAGGCCCAGATCTCCACTTCATGCCCTTAACTCCACCTCCGGGCCCATAACTCCACCTCTAGGCCCATATCTCCACTCCAGGCCCATATCTCCACTTCAGGCCCATATCTCTACTGCAGGCCCATAACTCCACCTCCAGGCCCATATCTCCACTCCAGGCCCATCGCTCCACTTCTAGGCCCATCACTCCACCTCTAGGCCCACATCTCCCCTCCAGGCCCATATCTCCCCTCCAGGCCCATCTCTCCACCCCAGGCACATATCTCCACCCCAGGCCCATATCTCCACTCCAGGCCCAGATCTCCACTCCAGGCACATATCTCCACCCCAGGCCCCTATCTCCACTCCAGGCCCAGATCTCCACTCCAGGCCCAGATCTCCACTTCAGGCCCATAACTCCACCTCTAGGCCCATAACTCCACCTCTAGGCCCATATCTTTACCTCCAGGTCCAGATCTCCATCCCCGCACTCCCTCCCTCGATTCCCTTCCAGGACTCACCAACACACGCCATGCTGACGACCATGAGCGACATGGTGCTGCCGGTGCAGACAGGCGGCTGCGCCCCAGCTCAGCTCAGCAGCGCACAGGATGTTATTTGGCGCCCTGCCCATGCAGTTTACATGTTGACCACATCATGGGAGGGTGACGTACGCAGGCTCTTTCTACCTTGCATGAGGCCCAGTGGGTGCTCGCTCAAGAGCGGAACATGGCTTCCTGGAAATTGCTCTCACTAGAATTGACACCTCGCGTCCTTCACTATGACCAACTCAAAACACGTCTCAGATCCAACCTCCCGAACACGAGATGCCTAAAATCTGTGCTAACATGAAAGACTTTTCATGTATTTTTATTGTTTTTATCTGAGATTCAAACTCTTCTTCCTGTGTAATATGCAAAATATCTAATAGGTATTATTAAGGTTTTCAGAGCAATTGTGACAATAAACCATTAGAATTTTTCATGATTGTATTTCTAGTATTACAGCAGAACCAGTTCAAATGATTTAAACTCCCAGGGAAGGATTATGCAATTATTTACAATCTTAGAATTGTACTTTATCAGCAAAAATCACAACATGTAAATTCTGGATTTTTGTAGATTTATCTAGAATTTGTCTCATGTCCCAAGATTCCAGAGTTCCAACTCATGGTTTGCTCTCTCTCTGTCTCTCTGCCTCCCTCATTTTAAATTTTACAGAAATATCCAGTAACATAATGCTATAGAAAATCAATTTCCCCAGCACTTTGGAAGCCGAGGTGAGTGATCAACCGAGGTCAGGAGTTTGAGACCAGCCTGGCCAATATAGTGAAACCATGTCTCTGCTAAAAATACAAAAATTAGCCATGCCTGGTAGCAGGCACTTGTAATGCCAGCTATTCAAGAGGCTGAGGCACGGAATCCCTTGAACCTGGGAGGCGGAAGTTGCAGTGAGCCGAGATCGTGCCACTGCACTCCAGCCTGGGCAACAGAGCGAGACTCTGCCTCAAGAAAAATAAAAAAAGCATAGCAAATAGCCTATAATAAATAACTAGAGGACTCCAGCTACCAAATTTTAGGGGTTGTATAAGGCTGCATAAAATGCAGCATTCTCAAGAGAGTGGACAGAGAGAGAGCCACTGAGCAGAAAACAGTGTCTAAAATACATCCGTGTACACACAGTCCCTTTATAGTTGACAAAGGCTGCCATGTGGTTTAAGGTGGAATAGAATGTCTTCTCAATAAATAACATGGGCCCAAGGGTTACACATAGAGAAAAATATATCTAAACGTATTCTCACACTATAAAACACTTGTTTATTTTATCTTGTTATTGTAATTTTTTTATGTTTTATATTTAAAATTGAGAAATAAAAATTATATACAGTCATCCCTCACTATTCGTGGGTGATTGGTTTCAGGATCTCCACTCAGATAGCACAATCTGCAGACGCTCAAGCCTCTTACATGAAATGGCACAGCATTTGCAAATAACCCATGCACATCCTCCTGTGTACATGAAATCATCCCTTGATTATTTATAATTCCTGATACAGCCTACACACAGCTTCATTTGTGTCCATTCAACATAGTTTTGCTTTTTGAAACTTTGTGGATTTTTTCTCTGAATATTTTTGATTTATATTTGGTTCAATAAACACCTGTAAATCCCACAGATACAGAGGACCGACTGTATATTTATAGTATGAAAGATGATGTGTTGATATGTGTCCCCGTGGAGATGAGACTAACAAGGCCTATGACTCTACAAATGTTTCATCATGGAATGACTCTGCCAGCTTTCCAGGTCTGCAGAGAGTAAGAATATCACTTGTTCATGTGATTCACGATCCTTGGAACCTCTTATGTGCTGCATCTTTGGATGGAAATTGGAGTCTCAGAGACAAATCAGGCTCCACCCTGCTTCCAGAAGCTCCAAGTCCAGGGGTGAGAACCCAGTGGAGAACAGTTGGAGTTATTTGGACATGGTAATGATAACACTGGAAACTTTCAGCCAAAAAAAGAGTCACCTAAAGAATGAAGGCAGACATGTTTATTTGAAGAGGAGAGAACTACACTGAAATCAAAAAAATTTTATAAGGTTTGCTGATGCCAGAAGGCTGAAAAATAGTCTGAGGAAAGGTGGAACAGCACGAGGGAAGGTGGAACAGCACGTGTCTAAGTGCCGTGTTAAGAGAGAGCCTCTTGTATGTTTGGAATTGTGAGTTCCTCAGTGTGATTGCAGCCTCAAGTAGACTAGGAAGTAAGCCAGTTAGGTTGGAGAGGTGGGCAGGGGTCAAGTGAAATAGAGAATTGTGGGCTAAGCAAAGGAGTGTGTTTTCTCTGCAGCAGGCAGTGGGGACCTTAGACATTGGTAAGCAAGAGACAGGCACCAGATTTGTGGTGTGAGGAAGAGTGATGCTCTAAGATGGAGACTCACGCCTTCAGATTCCAGCTGCTGGTACATTAGAGCTGGCAAGCTGGGTTTGAGACAGGGCTGTTGTCTCCCTAGAAGATCCCATCAAGGCCTGACTGTGGTGCTCATGGGCAGGAGACAACGCTCTGGGCTCAGCATTTGGAAGTTCTATACACACGCTGGTATCTGTTGAGGGTCTCTTGCTCCTCTGAGAAGGGCCAGTGATTTTTCTCTGTGTGAAAATGCAGTGATCCAACTGTGCGTATGTCACCTCCTGAGGGTCTTGTTCATCAGAGTCCTGGAGAGAGGGAAATCCTGAGTGAGGGAGGGTGTTCACATTTTTCAGGACTATTTCGGAATAAGACTGTATCCATGAGGCTGGGCTAGGAGGACCTACCTCCCTGTTCACTGTTCTGTGTCCCGCAGGCTCTTGGTTCATTACAGCAGCATCTGTAGGAGACGGAAGCAATCAAAACAGCTGGGAGGGCACTTCTGGGTCCTCATTTCATGAACAGATACCAACACACAGGGGGAGGCCATAGGTGCCTGAGGTCCCTCAGCTGCCAACAGCCAGACTCAGACATTCCATCTCTCTGAGTGCAAGACCCCATTCCATGAATAGCTGTCAGTTCCCATCCCATTGATTCTATCTCCCACTTTCTGCCTGTCATGGAATCTTCTCCTGGATGTGAGTGGCTGCAGGGGACGTGAGGATACAGTTCACAATCAGGCAACGGTCTGTGAGCTGAAGGCAGGGGCAGGGTGTCTGGTGCTCTCTCTAGAAAGCTCTGCCTCTGGCTCCTGCCTTGGGCCAGAGACTTTCCTGCCAGTGAGGAACACACACCTGCGTGCTCCCATCCTGCTTCCGCACAGGGCCCTGAGTTCTCTGGCCTCTGCTTCGTGAGGCTTACTTTTTTTTTGGAGCACCAGCGATGAAGGAGAAAGAAGGGAAGGATGGTAAAGAGGATGATGGCCACTGAGTACCTAATCACAGCATGCAGGTGTCTGGCGATACCTGGAGGAAGATGGGAATCCAATAAGAAGCTAACCATAGCAGTTCCTCTTTGTGGATTGTCTCTCATTTCTTGGTTGCCAGGCAACCACATAAAACACCTCTTTAAGACAAGCACCCACGAGGCGGGAGACCCAGCTTTCTCCTGCTTTCTCCGTTATAGTTTTCATAATAACAATAGAATGTGCTGATGATACAACTGCTATTGTTTCAATGTTTGACCCCTCCAAACCCCACTTTGAAATTTAATCCCCAGTGTGGGAGTTGTGCCTATTGGGAGGGGTGTTTTGGTCATGGGGGTGGATCCATCATGAATAGATTAATGCTGTCCCCAGAGGACGGGGTTAGCAAGTTCTCCCTCTATTAGTACCCTGGAGAGTTGATTCTTAAAAAGAGCTTGGAAGCTCCATCACACCCCCTTTCTCCCTCTCTTGCCATGTGATCTCTGTGGTCTCTGCACACGCAGGACCCCCTTCTCTTCTGTCAGTGTGGGAGCAGCCTGAGGCCGCAGCCAGAAATAGATGGTAGTGTCCTGCTTCTAGTACAGCGTGCAGATCAGTGAGCCAAACACATCTCTTTTCTTTAGAAGATACCCAGGCTCAAGTGTTCTTTTATAGCAACAAAAATAGGCTAAGACAGCAACATCCTGAGATCAGGAGGAACGTCTCAGAACAGCCTGGGCTGTCTTCCTGTTCTTCCTGGAGGAGAACATCATGCAGTGCTTTAGCTGAGTGTTCCCTGTGGCTCCAGGGTACAAAACCCAGGCTGGGCTGCTTTCTGGCTTCCCCCAGCTACAGTGCACATGAAGTGACTCCATGTGTCCTGAGCAGTTTTTCTGAGCCTTGAGGGACTGGCTCACCCTGAAAGGAAGGTTTCTGTTGTCACTCGCTGCTTATCTATAAGTAATGAACCTGCCTATGTAATGTATTCCCTGTGTGTTCTGTCTCCCTGGAGTGATGGTGAGTGATAGAAATTGGCACAGCCCCAGGTGCAGTATGGGAGGTGTTTAGAGTCTTCTCTGGGAAGACTGGACTGGGATTGATACACAGTGAATGTGCTTTACAGTTTCTACATCCACAACCCTCTTGACTCAAACAAATTACATTCTCCAAGAAAAGGAAAAAACAGTGACATTGAAATCAACATAAGTGAGGTTGAGCTGTCTTATATCAAACAGCCAGGAAATAATGATGAAGCTCGTGGGCAACATGCTACTTTTGTCATCTTGGGAGTCAGATATTAGGCTGCTGTTCCACCCGAGAGTCTGGGGGAAAGACCACCCCCTCCATCATCTGTTGCTTCAATACAGCCTGTCTTTCTGTGAATTACTCCAAAAGGTGACCAGGAGATAGTGCTGGCACTGGTCTCTGAGTCTACGATCTGAACTCCAAAGAATATTAGTTTTTACCTCCCCATGATCTATCTGTATCATTAATGTGATTGGAAGTAGGGGTGAGGTGGGGGATTTGGGTGAAGGGGCAAGTTTTGTGCCATGAACAGATCACGTTCTCTATTCCAGGACCTGTGCTGGTGGGTTTCACATTTTCCATATGATCTCATGCTCACAGAAAGCCAAATAAGGAAGATGTTTTCGCCTGATTTTCTTACGGATAGGATAAAGGATCAAAGAAGTCATTATAGAGAAATAGAAAAATGATGATTGGAATTGGTGTGCCTTTGTCATTCGTGTATGTTATATTATATTTATGTATTCTTTATTTTTATTTTTTGCCATGGAGTCTCACTCTGTCACCTAGGGTGCAGTGCAATGACGCGATCTTGGCTCACTGTAACCTCTCCCTCCCTGGTTGAAGCCATTCTCCTTCTTCAACTTCCCGAATAGCTGGTATTACAGGCACGCGCCACCACCCCCAGCTAGTTTTTGTATATTTAGTAGAGATGGGGTTTCACCATGTTGTCCAGGCTGATCTCGAACTCCTGATCTCACTTGATCCAGCCTCCTCAGCCTCCCAAAATGTTGGGTTACAGGTGTGAGCCACCGTTCAGAACCTTGTGTGTTATATTATAATAGGTCTCTTCCTTTGCACCACCCCTCATGTATCTCTCACTCCTCTGCCAAGTATTGATTTACATGTAGGAAAAATAAATCTCAGAAAGAAATCAATGAAGTGAAGATTAAACAATTAGGAAAAATCAAACCAGGCAAGCCCTCCCTGCAAATTACTCTACCTCACAAACACATCTTGTGTCCATCTTTCATTCATTTAGTGTCTAAATCAGCACCACATTTCACCAGGGGGGCGGGAATTGCCTTTTCCACAGTCTCCTAGATTCCAGTTATGCACCTGGGCCTCCCTTATTTTCATGTCAGTCACTATTCATCATGTAGGGATTCCCAGTTAGCCCCGAGGTAAGTCCAATGGCTGTGAGTATCAAACACACGCTCCTTGTTGCTCCTTAGTTTCCTGTGTACCCAGTGTGCTCTCTGTCTCTCCACAGTCGTCTTGTCATTCTCCCCATGTCATTCCCAGCATTTCAGGCAGAGCCTCTTCCTTCCACATAACATTGTTTTCACCTTTGTGCCTTCACGGCTGACAGCTGTGTGGAAAATCCTTCCGCCAATCTTCCAGGGGTTGATCTATTTTTTTCATTAAGGTCACAAGTATTATTTGATCAGTGAGAACTTCTCTGTCACCCGAAATTATACACTCAGCATTATCTATTATTTCTTTTAAAATACGGCTCGGCGCCTTGGCTCACGCCTCTAATCTCAGCACTTTGGGAGGCTGAGACGGGCGGATCCCTTAAGGTTGGGAGTTTGAGATAGCCTGGGCAACATGGTAAAACCTTGTCTGTACTAAAAAAAAATACCAAAAAAAAATTAGCCAGGCGTGGTGGGACATGGGTGTAATCCCAGCCTCTCGGGAAGCTGAGTGTAGAGAATCGCTTTAACCTGGGAGGTGGAGGTTGCGGTGAGCCGAGATCCCGCCACTGCACTCCAGCCTGGGGCACAGAGGGAGACACTGTCTCATAAAAACAACCAATCAATCAATCATTCTCATGCACAGATGCTTCCCAATGGATCATTCATTTATTGGTCCACTGGTGCATTCATTTTCTGCCCTCCCATTTAATCCTTTGCAATATCAGTGTCCAAGAGCAGAGGCCAAATGCACCTTGTTTACCATTTGTGGAAAGGATAAGAATGCCGCCCCACCCCAAAATATTCCTGTCCTAGTCGCCATATCTTGTGAATATGTTATTTTACATGGAAAAAAGGAATGCAGATTGCAGATGGAATTACGGTTGCTAATCAGCTAACCTTAAAAGGAGGGTATCCTAGATGATTTTAGGGAAATTATGATGGATTATCTTGGTGTTTCCAATAGAATGCCAAAGTCCTTAAAAGATGAGGAAGAAGGCAGAGCAGCATTCAGAGAAAGAGGTGTGGACAAGGAAGAAGGGTCTGAGTGATGCCGTGTGAGAGGCGTGACCAGCCTTTGTGGACTTTGAGGGAGGAAGACGGGGACCAGGAGCCAAGGAATGTGGGAGCCTCTAGGAGCTGGGAAAAGTGAGGAAGCAGATTCTTGCCTGGAACATTCAGAGGGAAGGCAGCCTTGCTGTCACCTTGATTTTAGCCCAGTGAGATGATGCATTTCATACTTCTGAGCTACAGCACCATGAGATATTTTTTAAAAATGTGGTTTCCATCCACGAAGCTTGTGGAAATTTGTTATGGCAACATAGGAAAAGGTTCCACACTGCACAGTCTGAGCATGGGGCAGTGGCTGAACGAGTAAGTGGAAGTGTCATGTGCACGGATGAACTACGTTCTCTCTTACCGCAAAGCTCTTGTTCCACTAAGTCAACCAGGGTTGGATCATGACAGACAGGAGCTCATTCCTTGGCAAGTAGAACTTCTCTACAAATACACCACCCTCAAAAATGTTCCCCTTCCTTCCCCTTCTCAAGCCCCCAGGCATTTGTCCTCCCAGTTAGGAATGCAGGCAGAACAAACACAGCATTTTTCCTGAGAAGAATGTCTGATTTGCACTCATCCTTCTACCCTGAGGTCTCAGCAGCAGAAAATTAGAGATTAAGAGATTTCACTGAGCCCTGTGCTGGGCCCAGATCCCTTTCGCTGTTGGAGTGTCTGGGGTTCAGAGACAATGGAAGACAGGCCCACAATCACAGAGCTGGCAGGTGCTGAGCCAACGCTTGAATCCAAGGCTTCTACCTCCCCAGGTTTCCAAAAGCAGAGATAAGAGGGGTCCTTCACTTACCAGTTTTGAAGCTTGGTTCAGTGGGTGAAGGCCAACTACTAGAAGGGTTTCCTAGAACACGGGACAGGAGAGAGGTGTGGCAATGAGGATGCCTGTCTTCTACTCAATGGAAATCTTTGAGGTTGGTTCATGGCCAACATTCTATTATCTAATGTTGGGCCCTGGGAGTCCTGGCATCCCATTCTCCATAATCATTGTAGGTGACACCAACTATCTTGAGACTTCAAGGTATAAGGAGAAAACAGGAGCATCACACTACCTGACTTAAAAATATGTTACAGAGCTGTAGTAAGCAAAACAACATGACATTGGCATAAAGAAAAGCACATAAAACAATGGAGCAGAATGAAGAACACGGATGTAATCCACCCATTTACATCCAATGGACTTTGACAAAGGTTCGAAGAATCTACAATCTGGAAAGGACAGTCATTTCAATAAATGGTGCAGGGAAAACTGGATATCTACATGCAGAGGGATGAAACTGCACCTCTACCTCTCACCATACACAAAAATCAGATGAAAATGGATTAATGACTTAAGACCTGAATCCATTAAATGTCTAAAAGGAAACACTGGAGAAATGCTCCAGGACATTTGTCTGAGGGAAGACATTTTGTTTAAAACCTCAAAAACACAAGTAATCACAACAACAACAAAAAAATAGACCATTGGGATTATATCAAATCAAGCAGCTTCTGCACCGCAAAGGAAGCAACCAATGAAGTGAAGAAGAGACAACCCACAGAATGGGAGCAAATATTTGCAAACTATGCATCTGAGATGGGATTAATAACTAGAATATAAAAGAAGCTCAAACACCTCAATAAAACTAATAATTTAATTATAAAATTAGTAAAAGACCTGAACAGACATTTCTCAATGAACAAAACATACAAATGAACATATATACATTGCATATATGAAAAAGTGCTCAGTATCACTAATCATCAGAGAAATGCAAATGAAGTCACAATGAGCTATCATCTCACCCCATTACAATGGGTTTTATCTCAGAGACAGACAAAACAAATGTTGGCAAGGTGGTGGAGAAAGGAGAACCCTAATACACTGTTGATAGGAATGTAAATTAATACAGCCATTACAGAGGAGAAGAATATGGAAGTTCCTTAAAAACTAAAAAGAGATTAGGCACTGTGTCTCACGCTTGTAATCCCAGCACCTTGGGAGGCTGAAGTGGGCAGATCACTGGAGGTCAAGAGTTCGAGACCAGCCTGGCTAACATGGTGAAACCCCGTCTCTACTAAAAATACAAAAATCAGCCAGGCGTGGTGGCGGGCACCAGTAATCCCAACTACTCGGGAGGCTGAGGCTGGAGAATCACTTGAATCCTGGAGGTAGAGGTTGCAGTGAGCCCAGGTGGTGCCATTGCACTCCAGCTTGGGCAACAAGAGTGAAACGCTATGTCAAAAAAACAAAAAGCATAAAACAAAACCTAAAAAGAGAACATCCAGAGGATCTAGCAATTCCACTAGTGGGTGTAAATGCAAAGAAAAGGACTTCAGTGTATTGAAGTGACATCTGCACTCCCATGACTGTTCCAGCACTGTTCACAGTAGCCAAGATGTGGAGTCAACCTACCTGCCCATCAGTGGATGAATGGATAGAGAGAAAGTAGTACATACACACAATGGAGACAACTCATCCATACAAAGAGTAACGTCCTGTCATTTGCAGCCACATGGATGGACTGGAGGTCATTACAAGGATTGCCATTTCTTACTCACATGCAGGATGTAAAAGGTGGACCTCATGAAGGTAGAGAGTAGAATGGTGGATACCAGAGGTTAGGAAGGAAGGGGTGGAGGGTAACAAAAGAAGAATATAAAAGTATTTATTTATTTATTTAGAGACAGAGTCTCTCTGTGTCACCAGGCTGCAGTGCAGTGGCATGATCTCAGCTCACTGCAACCTCCTCCTCCTGGGTTTAAGCCACTCTCCCGCCTCAGCCTCCCAAGTTGCTGGGATTATAGGCGCCTGGCACCATGCCTGGCTAATTTTATTTTTTTTGTCTTTTTAGTAAAGATTGGTTCCCCCATGTTGGCCAGGCTGGTCTCCAGCCCCTGATTTTAAATGATCCACCTGCCTTGGCGTCTCAAAATGCTGAGATTACAGGCATGAGCCACCGCACACAGCATATAAAGGTATTTATGATCCCTAGATTTTACACTTAAAAATGGTAAAGTTGATAAATTATATAGGTATATTTAACCTCAATCAGCATTTTTTCAAAGGAAAAGAAAAAGTGTAGGGGTTGCTGGTGATGACATCTCTGTGTAGGTGAGAGGCCAGGGTGGGCTTCTGGGAAATGGGTAAGGTTGAGGGGCTGAGGGAACCTCTGATCTCCCCAAACTGAGCCCAGTCTCCCTCCTCTGGGTCTGTCCTGACCACTTTCTCCATCTGCCTGGGTACCCGGAGCCCTTACTGCAAGCTTCCATGCAGGCCATGCAGGAGGGTTTGGAGGTGCCCTGTCTGCCATCCTGTGCCCTGATCCCACCCTCACACCATGCTGCATCTTCTCTCCACATCTGTCCATGCTTCTCTCCATCATCAGCAGGAAGCTCCTCAGCTAAGGCTCTAGGACCATAGGACATGGGACAGACATTGGCTTTCCTCACCTGTGACAGAAACAGGCAGTGGGTCACTCGGGTCTGACCACTCGTAGGGAGATCCATGGAAAGAGCCGAAGCATCTGTAGGTCTCTCCGTGGGTGGCAGGACCCAGAGGGAAGTCGGCCTGGAATGTTCCATTGATGCTGGGCACTGCAGGGAGCCTAAGTTCATGGGCTTCCCCCTCCCTGGATAGATGGTAGATGTCAAAGGAGCTCTGGGAGCTGCAGGACAAGGTCACGTTCTCTCCTGCGCGAACCGTGGGGCCCGGCCGGGCTGTAAGCGAAGGTTTCTCATATAGACCTGGAAGGAGAAGAGGCAGTTTCCTCAGGGAGGTTCTTCCTTGTCACAGCTCCCCTCCCACCTGAGCTGAGAACTCACTGCCCTGCTCTATGGCCTAGTGCTCTCTCTCTCTCTCTCACCCTCCACCCCCAACTCTTCCTGTCGATCCCTCCCTATGTGGTTCCAGCCTGGTGGTGGCATCAGCAGTGCACCCTTGCTGATCTCAGGGTAGCCAACCTTCTTGTTTGGTTTTTTAACTTGTCCTTCACCTGGGTTCCTGTGTTGGTTTCCTGTTGTTGCTGGAGAAAATTATCACAAACATGGCGGCAGGAGAGAACACACTGACCCCTTCCACTTCTGGAGACAGAAATCAGACCCTGTTCTTCCTGGGCTACAATCAAGGCATCTGCAGGGCTGCATTCCCTCTGGAGACTCGGGAGAATCAGTTCCATTGATTTCTCCAGCCCCTTCGTGGCTCGTGGTCTTCCTCCACCTTCAAAGCCCACAGTGGCTGGTGGAGTATCCCACGATGCTGCTCTAATCCCCATTCTCCTCTTCCTTCTCCACTCATATGGACCCTTGTGATTACACTGAGCCCAGTGGGAGAGTCCAGGCCATCTCCCCATCTCAAGGTCAACTCATCAACAACCTGAGCTCCATCTTCCCCTTCAGTCCCCTGCCCTATAACATAGTCACAGGCTCCAAGGATTACAATGTGGCCATCGATGGGGACAGTTATTCTTTCCAACACAGCACCCATTCCCCTGTATTCAATCCCCCTTTACCCCAAATATAGTTGGGGCCTGGATGATCGGACTCTGGTGGACACCCCCACCAGAAGCTCTGGGACTCAGGAGGTGGGACAAGGAGAAGCCCAGACAGGAGCCCTCTGACCTGTGACCATGATCACCAGGGGGTTGCTGGGTGCCGACCACTCAGTGGGGGAGTGCGGGTGAAAACCTCGACATCTGTAGGTCCCTGCGTGTGCTGGGGTCACAGGGCTAATGAGGAAACTGTTCCAGAATATTCTGTTGTAGAGCTCAGGGACAGGGACCCCATCTTTCTTGTACAGCGTGAAGATGTTAAACCCACGACGATAGTGACACCGAAGAGTCACGTGTCCTCCTTGAGGCACCACAGCGCTGGGCCAGGCAGAGCAGAAGGGCTTGTCCTGACCACCTTGGGGAGAAGGAGATGCCGCCTCAGAGAGGAGTATGTTGAGCTGCCCCTCCCTCCCTGTGCTCAGAAGATTCTCCCCATTTCTTCTTTCTAAGGCTCCTACCACACCTGGGTGCCTGGGGCTACAGGAAGGACCCATCCCGCATAGACGTGGCGTCTCCCTACAACAAAAGTGTCAGTTGAGAACTGAGCAGGTGCTGAGTAAGGGACTCTTACTAGATTTTAATACTGCAAGATTAGTTACACCAAAGAACACAAAGTAGACATGGGGTGGAGGGTATGACCTTTGTGAATGGAATATTAGCTAATGCCTGAACCACAATAAACAACTGAGCTCCATCAGAGGATTTGGAATGGCAGGGTCGTGGCTGTGGTTCCCCCACCTCTTCTGGCAGAATGACAGCAGCCACACTGCAGCCCCTACCGTCATGGAAACGCTGGAGGGTGTGAGTTACCCTCTTGTCCTCAGAGGACCTGCTGTTCCTAACACTGCTACCCTTCCCTCCTCTGTCGGTGACACCACATCCCCCCACACACCCCAGCTTTGAGCACCTCAGTATCCCGCCTGGGCCACACAGAGCTCAACTCAGCCATGGGGAAGAAAGGCTGGGGAGGGCTAAGACAAAACAGAGGGCTGAGCATACCAGGATCTCCTCTTACTAGTTCATGAGAGACTCCCAGGATCTCCTCTTACTAGTTCATGAGAGACTCCCAGGATCTCCTCTTACTAGTTCATGAGAGACTCCCCCCAGGCCTTCCCATGGTCAGCCCATCAGCCCACCCTCTGTGCTGCCTCCCTCCCATTTCTGGAAAATTCACTTGTATTGGGGTGAAGATGGCAACCCATCATTTGGGGAAGGACTCACCCACGTGTGCCCACACACTCTGGTCCAAGAAGAACCCTGCAAAGAAAGATCATGATGAACTATTCATCTCGGCAGCAACCTACCCTTTCCTCCTGAGCCACTGGGCGCCACGCTGGACTGAAAATTAACTCATCCTCACCACTCACTTGCTTCAGAACATGGCTCTCTGCTGGGGAGACACCCAATCTGCAGGCCCATAGTGTAACCCTGGTGCTCCTTCCCTTCCAGGACTCACCAAGACATGCCAGGATGATGACCGTGGGTGACATGGACATGGTGCAGCTTCTGCTGCCAGGACGCAGTGACTCGGCTCGACTGACCGGTGCAGAGGATGTGGTGAGGGGCCCGGATCGTGCAGTTGACACATTGACCACAACATGTGAAGGGGACATAGGTAGGCTTCTTCTACGTCATATGAGGTTCAAGTGGTGAATCAGTCAAGGGAGGAATGAGGGTTTCTGAAAACTGCAGACTAGACTTGTCACTTCACATCATGCGCAACGGCCAGGCTCAAAACACATCTCAGACTCACTTACCCCTGCACGGGACGATTGAATTCTGCACTCACATGAGGAAATTTGATGTATTTTTTTTTGTTTCTACCTGAGATTCAAACTCTCCTTGATATGTAATATGCAAAATACCTAATAGGTTTTATTAACACTATAGAGCAATCGTATTAAATAAATCATCATAATTTTCCATGGTTGTATTTTTCCTGTTAAGCCAGAAACAGATAAAATGATTTAAATCCCAGTAGAAAAGACTATATAGTTATTTCGCATCATAGAATTCCACCTTATTAGCAAAAACACAATATGTCAATTGAAGGTCTGGTCGTGTTATCTAGAATTTGTCTTATGACACAAGAGTCCAAATTCACAGTTCCCTGTCTCCCTTTTTGTCTCTCTGTAACGTGTGCTTTTTTTCTCCCTGTGTTGTTTGTGTGTCTTTCTTTCTCTCTCTCATTTGAGGAAAAAATATCAGACTGATAACATCCTCCAACTTGATACTGGAATATTGCAATAACTGAAGGTTGAAATCTACACATTTAATGTGCTGTCATTCTTACAAATGTCTCTTATTTACACCTATCTTTCTGGAGTTTGTAAGAACTTTTTCACTATGCATTTTAAATTTGTAAAACTCATAATTTTTAAAAAGGGATGGGTCTCACTGTTTGCCCAGGGTGGCCTTTACTCATTCTATAAGGCTGGCATCACCCTGATACTAAAGACAGAAAAGAACATTAAACAAAAGAAAACTACATGCCAATATTCCTGATGAACATAGAGGCAAAAATCCACAAAAAATACTAAGAACTGAATCCCGCAGCATATCAAAAAGTGAATCCACCATGATCAAGTCAACTTTATTCTTAGGGTGCAAGGTTGGTTGAACATACACAATCAATACATGTGATTCATCACCTAAACAAAACTAAAAACAAAAACCACATGATCTTCTCAACACACATGTAGAACATACTTTTTACTAAGCATTTCTTCATGTTAAAAGCCCTCAACAAGCTAAGCATTGAAGAAACATAACTCAATATAATAAGAGCCGCCTGTGACAAACCCACAACCAACATCATACTGAATGAGTAAAAGCTGGAAGAAGTTCCCTTCATAAGTGAAACAAGACAAGAATGCCCACTCTCACCATCCTATTCAACATAGTACTTGAAGTCCTAGACAGAGCCATCAGGAAAGAGAAAGAATTATAAGGCATCCAAGTAAGAAGAGAGTAGCAGAGAGAGGTAGTCAAATTACCTCTGTTTGAAGATGAGATAATTTCTATACCTAGAAACCCCATAGTCTCTGCCCAAAGGCTCCTACATCTGAGAAACAAACTTCAGCACAGTTTAAGGGCAGAAAGTCAATGTACAGGCTGGGTGTGGTGTCTCAGCCTGAAATCTAGCACTTTGGGAGGGCGAAGCGGGTGGATCACCTGAGGTCTGGAGTTCGAGACCAGCCTGGCCAACATGGCGAAACCCTGTCTCTACTAGAAACACAAATATAGCCGGACGGGGTGGTACGCAACTGTAGTCCCAGCTGCTTGGGAGGCTGAGTCAGGAGAACCGCTTGAACCTGGGAGGCAGAGGTTGCAGTGAGCGGAGATCACGCCATTGCACCTCAGCTTGGGCAACAACAGTGAAACTGCATCTCAAAAAAAAAACCAAAACAAATTTAATTAATGAGGAAAAGGGTATTTGTGGTGTCCATCATGATGTTTTCATATAGGTACACATTGTGGAATGGATGAAACAACCTCTTTATCATATTTATTTTTTCACATACTTGTATGTTTTGTGTGTGTGGTGAGAACATGTAAAATCTAATCTCTTAGTAATGTTCAATACACCATATGTTGCTATTAACTGGAGTCACCAAGACATACAATAGATCTCTTGAACCGATTTCTTCTAACTGAAATTTTGCATCCTTTGACCAACATCTCTTCAATCTCTCTCCATCCCAGGTTCTTTCGACGACCATTTTACTGTTCCTCTAGGTTCCACTTCTTACACTCCACACATGAGATCATGTGGCATTTGTCTTTCTGTGCCTGGATTGTTTCCCTTAACATAATGTCCTCTAAGTTTTTTCACATTGTCACAAATGAGAGGACTTCCTTCTTTGTTGTAAAGGTTGTATAGTACTTCATTACGTTCCTATCGTATACCACGTTTTCTTTGTCCATGCACCCATAGATGGGCAGTAAGGGTGATTCCACATCTTGGCTGTTATGAATAATGCGGCTGTAAACATGGGAATGCAGATATCTCTTCAACATACTGATTCCACTTCCTTTGGATACATGCGCAGTAGTTGGATTGCAGACACATATGGGAATTCTATGTTTAATTTTTTCAGGAACTTCCAGACTGTTTTCCATAATGGTTGTGCTAATTTACATTCCCATCAACTGCATACAAATGTTCCCTTTTCTCCACATCCTCGTTAACCCTTGTTATTTTTTATGTTTTTGATAATGGTCTTTTTTTTTTTTTTTTTTTTGAGACTCAGTCTTGCTCTGTCACCCAGGCTGGAGTGCAGTGGCACAATCTCGGTGTACTGCAACCTCTGCCTCCTGGGTTCAAGCGATTCCCCTGCCTCAGTCTCCAGAGTAGCTGGGACTACAAGTGTGCGCCACCAAACTCTGCTAATTTTTGTATTTTTAGTAGGGATGGGGTTTCACCATATTGGCCAGGCTGGTTTCGAACTGCTGACCTCAGGTAATCTCCCTGCCTCGGCCTCCCAAAGTGCCTGAATTACAGGCATGAGCCACCATGCCCAGACTGTTAATGGTCATTCTAAGAGGTGTGAGGTGATATCTCATTCTAGTTTTAATTTTTATTTAGCTGATGTTTAGTAATGCTAATCATTTTTTCATATACCTTTTGGTGATTTGTCTTATTCTTAGAAATGTTTATTCAGATACTTTGCCCATTTTTTTAAGTTGGGTTATTTGATTTCTTACCATTGAGTTGTTTGAGTTTCTTATATATTTTGGATATTAATTCCTTATTAGATGTATGGGTGCAAATATATTCTCCCATTCCATAGGTTGTCTTTCCACTTGTTGAGTTTTTTTTTTCTTTGCAGAAACTTTCAATTTGATATAATGTTATTTGTCTACTTTTGCTTTTGTTGCCTGGGCCTTTGGGTTAATATCCAAAATGGTTTTGCCCAAGCCAGTGGAGTTTTCCCTTGATTTCTTTTAGTAGTTTTTTTTTTTTTTTTAAGATGGAGTCTCACTGTGTTGCCCCGGCTGGAGTGCAGTGGTGCGATCTCGGCTCACTGCAACCTCTACCTCCTGGGTTCAAGTGATTCTCCTGTCTCAACCTCCCGAGTAGCTGAGATTACAGGCACCCACAACCACACCCAGCTGTTTTTGTATTTTTAGTAGAGGCGGGATTTCACCATGTTGGCCATGCTGGTCTTGGAATCCTGACCTTAGGTGATCTGCCCACCTTGGCCTCCCAAATTGCTGGGATTATAGTCTTTCATCTTACATTTAAGTCATTAATCTATCTTGAGTTGACTTTGTATGTTTTGTGAGGCAAATGTCCACTTCCATTCTTCTGCATGTGGACATGCAGTCTCCCAATCCCATTTATTAAAGAGACTGTTCCTTCTCCATTGTGTGTTCTTGACACATCCCAAAAATTGTTTGACCCTAAATGCATGCATTTTTTTCCTGGGCTATGAATCACTTCCATTGGTCTATGTGTCTGTTTTTATGCAAGTACTGTGTTGTTTTAATTACTGTAATTTTGTAATGTAGTTTGTGTTTAGGTAATGTGATGCTTCCAACTTTGTTCCTTTCCCTCTAGATGGCTTTGGTTATTTGAGATCTTTTGTGGTTCCACATGAATTTTAGGACTGTTTTTTCTATTTCTGTAAAAAAAATGTCATTGGATTTTTGATAATGGTTGCATTGAATCACTTTGGATAGAATGGACATTTTAACAACATTAATCCTTCTGATCCGTGAACATGGAATATCTTTCGATTTATTTGTTTATTTCTTGAGTTTTTTCATCAATGTTTTATAGCTTTTGCATACAGATCTTTCTACTCCTTGGGTGAATTTATTCCTGCATGTTTTGTTTTCTGTAGTTATTGCAAATGGGCTTATTTTCTTGTAAACTTTTTTGGATAGTTTGTTGTTAATGTATAGAAACTTTGTTGTTGTTGTTGTTGTTGTTTTGATGATACCCATCCTAAGGGGTATGAAATGGCATCTGGTGTAGTTTTAGTTAGTATTTCCCTAATGATTCGTGATGCTGAATATCTTTTCATGCGTATGTTCTTTGGAGAAATGTCTGTTTCAGTACTTTGCCCATTTTTGAATTGAGTTTATTGTGATTGAGTTTTAGGAGTTGTCTGTATATTCTGGATGTTAATCCCTTACAGGTGGTGTGGTTTGAAAACATTTTCTCCCATTCTGTGGGTTGTCTTTTTACTTTGATAATATCGTCTTAAAAGTTCTTTTTCCTTGCCATGTGAAGTAACTGATGTTGTCTTTTGAGTCACAATATTTCAAAATTTTCATAAAGTCTAACTTGTTTATTTTTTCTGTAGTAGCCTGTGCCGTTGTTGTCACATCTAAAGAATCACTGCCAAATCCGATGTTGTGAAGTTTTCCTTTGTGTTTTCTTCTAAGACTTTAATTAAATTTTATTTGTCAATATTTAGGACTGACAAAAGCTTTTTAACATTCCTGGCACCATCTCAGTTATTGATCTACTCCCAAGATGGATCATTTCAATTAAAACATGTAAAGCATGACCTCACCTGAATGTGTTTGAACTTGCTCTTCTCCCTTTCAAATCGACTCCCTCACTTACATAGTTTGTGTTCAAATGTCAACAAATAAAACATAAAAAGAAATCAATCTTTTCATAGACCCTTTATCTAAAATAGAATAGTAGGTGCCATGACATTTCATCCTTTCATCTTGAATTATTTACTTTTCTACATGAAACAATCCATTCTTCTGTGTGCATGTGTGTGTGTGTGTGTGTGTGTAGTTTATCTGTCTACATATAATGTAAACACCAAAAAATAACAGACATTTAGTAATTTTCAAATGAGACTTCAGGAATTAACAATGGCTTGCCATTTTTAGTGTGTTATTATTATTATATTTAGATGAACAGAATTGCCTCAGGAACATGGCCAGGGGCTCATAGTCCAGGAGAACTGTGGCCTGACTCAGGTACATTTTACCTGCAATAACAGCAATTGCAGGTCACTGGAGTCCATCACAATTGGCTGGAGACAAATGTAAGACAAGAATATTTGCAGTTTCCCCAGACTGACACAGTTGCAGGTTCCCCGAAGTAATGAGTCCTGAGACACCTCCAACAAGAGCTAGAAAAGGTATCACTTCAAGAGGAGTTGCAGCCTACTCATTTTAGACAAATGGAGCAAAATTACAGTATCACATCTTTTCCTTTCTCCTTCATAGAATCTGGATGAACAGAACAGAAAGAGTTAATGGAATATAAGATTCCAATTCTCTGGCATGAGAAAATAGACAAGGAAAGGAAGATTCATCTTCATCACATCTCAGACATGCTTGGACACAGGGTCCAAGCACAAAAGAGAAACACATACTTCTTCCCATCCACACTGGGATCCAGGGTCTTCTCCCTCCTGTCAGGCCAGAACTGAGTCTCCACTCCCCAATTTAGTTCCCAGAGATGAAGCCCAATTTTCCTCTGTCTCAAGCTTTGAAGGCCAGTTTTAGCGTGTTCACCATGGATGAATGAAGGTGAGGTCAGAGGTTTGGGAAATGGTCAAGAATGAGGTGAGAAGAGAGCTGTGGAGGCATGGCCCCGGGGAGCTTGGTACCCCCCCATATCCAGAGCCTGTCTGGTCCAGGAGAGTTCCCAACCCTGTGAGCACCAACTCCGGATATTCTGGGCAGTGACCCGAGGGACAGCCTCTTATGAATACAGGCTGTTTTCCTCCAGTGTCTGCTGTGAAACCAGGATGTACAACATGGCCGTGTTCAACCCAACAATGGACTTAGGATTTTGCTGTACGCCAAAACTCAGTGTCCAACTTCCACTCTGTTTAGCTGGAAAAAGAAGGGGTTTGTTCCCATACATCTCACTCCTGTGTTCCTCTTTCAGTCTCAAAGCTCAGATGAAAACAATGAGTGTCACTTATTGTCAATCCTCTTCCCTGCCTTTTCCACACTCATCAGTATTACCGTTTACATTGAGACTAAAGATGGCCAATCACCACTTTTCTTCGGAAAAATCAACCTGATGTTGTACCTACTTTTTTAGAGGTGGAATCAACCTACCCTAAGATGCCAACTACATTTTACTGAATGGACTTTTGTGGATCCCCTCGATGTATATAGTGGCACCTTGAGGTATCATCCCTGTCTTTAGCAAATGAATATTATCCCAAGGACAATATTTCATCACAATTATTCGGGATGGACGAGTGGATATTGTGGTAGCAAGAACATTACTAAAAGTCACAGCTGATACAACACACTTGAAACCCATCTGGCCAATCTCCCACAGACAGAATGTCGCGCCATTCACTCCAGCCAGCTTCAGTCATGTTTCTTCCATTTCCACCTGTGGCCCCTCATGTCTCCACCAGGTCTTAGCCAGCATTGCCAAAAGAGCCAGGAAGACCAGACCAGCCACAACAATCCTGATGGAACTCTCCACAGTATAGTTCTGGAGAACAGGGGCTGGAGGGTGGGGGTAAGATCAGAGACCTTTCCATGTGGGCCAGGCCCCTCTCTCCCCAGAAGCTCTGAAATGGAGCTATTTCCCCATCTCACCTTCATAAAATTCTTCCTGTCCAGAACCCCTCTTCTCCCTATATCATCATGAGCACCTTCAGAAGTCTTTTGCCACAAAAAGAAATTTCTTTTGAAGATATACATTTTTTTGTACATTTCAAAAATGTTCCCAAACTAATTCTCCAAAGCAATAAATGTTTGTGTGTATTGCTGGGTAGGTTATGTATACAAGGAAAGGAAGCATAGTGAGTCTGATTTGGCAGAGGAAACATATGTGGAAATTATATCATTTACTCTCTTTACAAAATTAAGTACAAAATTGAAAACACTGGTAAGAAAGAATGAGCTATAGAGAAAGAAAACATCTGAGATGCTTGTTTCCAAGATGGCTGACTAAATGCTTTTCTGGCATGTCTCATCCACTTAGAAGAACGAGCAGAATCCAGAACAAAAACCATATGATCATCTCAATAGACATAAAGAAAAGCATCTGAAAAGAAATTCAACATCCTTACCTGATGAAAACCCTCAAAAACTTAGGCATAGAAAGAACATACCTCAAAATAATAAAAGCCATAGATGACATATCTAGAGTCAACATCATACTGAACAGGAAAAGTTAAAAGCACTCCTCTGAGAACTGGCACAAGACAAGGACACGGACATCCACCACTTCCTATCAACATAGTACTGGAAGCCTTGTCAGAGCTATTGGGCAACAGGAAGAATTAAAAATCCAAATTAGAAAAGAGGAAGTAAAATTATTTTTATTTCTGATGCTATGATCTTAAATCTAGAAAATCCTAAAGACCCTGCCAAAAATTCTTATGATTGATAAATGAACTAAGTAAAGTTTCAGAATACAAAATCAATATGTAAAAGCCGGTAGCATTTCTCTACACCTATAATGATCTAGCTGAGAACCAAATCAAGAAGGCAATGCCGTTTACAATAGATACGCAAAATTAAAACACTCAGGAATACATTTAACCAAGGTGGTGAAAGATCTGTACCAGGAAAGGTGTAAGACACCAATGAAAGCAATTATAGATAATACAAAAAAAAAAAAAGAAAAAAAATCCCACGCTCATGGATCATAAGAATTAATATTGTTAAAATGACCATACTGCCTAAAGCAATCTACAGATTCAGTGCAATTCTTATATGAAAATAGTAACACCAGTTTTCACAGAATTAGAAAAAGCAATCCTAAAATTCATACAGAACCAAAAAAGATCCTAATAGAGAAAGCAATTCTAGGTGAATGTAGAAACCTGGAGGCATCACGCTATCTGACTTCAAACTATGCTCTAAGGCTATAGTAACTTAAATAGCACAGTGCTGGTATAGACACAGAAACAGAGATCAATAGACCAGAATAGAGAGCCCAGAAATACAGCCTCATATCTACAGTGAATAATCATTGACGACGTTAACAAAACATACACTGGAGAAAGATTTCCTTTTCAATAAAAGGTGCTGGGAAAACTAAATAGCCATATGCAGAAGAATAAAACTGGACCTGTATCTGTAATCATACACATAAATTAACTTAAGGTAATTAGCAGCTTAAATGTAAATCCAGAACTATAAAATCACCGGTGGAAACCCAAAGAGAAACTCTTCTGGGCATTGGTCTGGGCAAAGAATTCATCACTAAGACCTCAAAAGCACAGGCAATAAAAATAAAACTAGACCAATGGGACTTAATAAACGAAAGAGCTTCTGCCAAGCAAAGGAAATAGTAGCAGGGTGAACAGACAACCCACAGAATGAATGGAAATGTTTGCAAACTATGCACCCAACAGAGGACTAACATCCAGAATTTCTAGGCAACTCAAACAACTAAACATAACCCCTCAAATAATAGCATTAAAAAGTGGGCAAAGGGATATACATAGACATTTTTCAAAAGAAGACATACGAATGGCCAAACAGCGTATGAACATCACTAATCATCAGAGAAATGCAAATTGAAACCACAATGAGATATCATCTTACAGTAGTCAGAATGGCTATTACTAAAAATGCTGGTGGGGAGTGGTGGCTCACGCTTGTAATCCCAGCACTTTGGGAAGCTGAGGCGGGTGGATCATGAGGTCAGGAGTTTGAGACCAGCCTGACCAACATAGTGAAACCCCATCTCTACTAAATATACAAAAGATTAGCTGGGCATGGTGGTGTGGTTCTGTAATCCCAGCTACTCAGGAGGCTGAGGCAGGAGAATCATTTGAACCTGGTTGGTGGAGGTTGCAGCGCGTGGAGATGGCGGCACTGCACTCCAGCCTGGGTGACAGTGGAAGACTCCATCTCAAAAAGAAAAAAAGAAAAAGTGAAACATATAACAGGTGTTGGCAAGGATGCAGAGAAAAGGAAACTCTTATACACTGTTGGCCGGTATGTAAATTAGTATAGCCTCTATGGAAGACAGTATGGAAATTTGGCAGAGAACCAAAAATAGAAGCACCATTCGATCTAGGGGTCCCGCTGCTGGGTATCTACTCAAAAAATACCTGCACCTGTATGTTTATTGCAGCACTGTTTGCAATAGCAAAGATATGAAATCAATCTAAGTGTCTGTGAATGAATGATTGGATTAAAAAAAGGATGCGTGTATACACAACGAAATACTATTTGGTCATAAAAATAAAACCATGTCTTTTGCAGCAACATAGATGGAGCTGGACGCCATTATTTTACATAAAACCACTCAGAAAGACAAATACCACATCTTCTCACTCTACATGGGAGGGGAGTAATGTGTACATATGGACGTAGAGTGTGGAATGACGGACAGCGGAGGCTAGAAGGCTGGAGGGTGGCGGGACGTGGGTGAGTGATGAGAATTTGCTTAATGAGTACAATGTACGGTATTTGGGTGATGGATATAGTAAAAGTCCTGACTTCACTACTCTGCAACATACTCATGTCACAAAATTACAAGTGTACCTCATAAATTTATACTAATAGAAAAGAAAGTCTGTACACAGTAATCAATTGTGATATGTAGATAAAGTCAATATTAAATTTAAACCAGAATAACTAGTTAAAATGTTGTGTACACAACAGTGAAGAGAGTATTTATCCTCTATGACAGAGGAAACCATCAATATTAATGCACAGAAAAAGCAAATAACTGAAACAAGAAAGAGCAGTTTTGTGACAGGGTAAAAATTGACAACAGTTTTAGAATGCTCCTAACTTGAGTTCCAAAAAGAAAGAACGAGAAAACAGGTCAGAAGCAATCTTTAAAGAGGCAATTGTTGATTATTTGGAGGAAGTAGACACATCCATCAATCCACAGGTTCAAGAAATCCAGTGAATGCCAGGCAGAATGAAGTAAACACACCTCACGTTCAACATTACAGAAAAGCAGCATAAAAGCACAACCAACCCTTAAAATTAGCCAGAGGAAAAGGATCAGCTGGTAAGGATTTATAGGGAGCCAAGCATTGTCTTCCCCACAGAAAAAAGGAAAACATAAGCCAGTAGAATAGCATCTTTACCCAGCTAAGATACCGTCGCCAGCCACCGACAATTCCTTACATAGTACAGTTACTGTCCAAGATCAACGCAGGAAAGAAACAGAACTGAAAGACAAAAGGGCAAAGAAAGCTTTTCTCACTGACCCTAAAGGAAATTCTGATGACCGTGCCTCAAAGATAAAGAAAGTGAAACCAGATGGGGTGTCGAAGATTCTGACAATAACTAAGAGCAGAGGAAGAACTAAAAATATGGCTATGCCAAAAATGAATATGGACCATACGATAGTGTATGAAAACACGCCCCTGTGTAATTTCTGAAAAAGATAGAATTATGTATACCACAAAACAAAACATCATATAAGTAAATACAAACATATGTACTAAATATGCTCTAAAATCCTGTTCTTACACAGGAAGAGTGGAAATATGTTTTTATATTTGCAGTTTAATCTCTGAAATGATTAATTTCAATTTTAAAAATATGTAACAACTTCAGGATGAGTACACCATATATGTATTCCTAAACGACATAGATCAAAAATAGAATGTTTGAAATAGAAAACCACAGAAGTCAGTGGGAAAAAAAGGGAATCAGGAAAACACAACGTAATAATAACAAAAATATGATTGGAAGAACTGCTCAAACATGAACAAAAGATTGTCAGAAAGTCTTACTTTCTAAGGCGAATTGTTTGAAATTTACAAAGGACACATCTCAATGTTAACAATTCATGGAGTTTGAAATTAAACAATGTAGAAATATACCAAGCAATCACTGTTAGAAATGTGGTATAACTATATTAAAATTAGACAAAATTAGTCTTTGGGAAAAATCAGCGGAAAACATTAAGCATAAAATGTAGGAAAAAAGCAGGTAAATTTATAGCATTTTAAATTTACCAGGAATATATAATCAGTTTACACTTAACCACTCCCAGTAATATTCCTGCAAATATACATGGAGGAAGAGTCGCGGAAATAAATGGACAGGTAGGCAAATCCACGGCCACAGTGGGGTGTTTAACACTCCTCTTTTCTCAGTTGTTGATAGAAGTGGTTCAGGCAATTAGAGAGGATTTAGAAAGATAATTGCTGGACCTGACCCAAGGTATAAGTCCACTCCCAACCACAGGACTCACTTTCCTTACAAGCACAAGGGCATTTAGAAATCTCTCTGGATTCTGACCAGCCCTCACCATATGGCAGGTCCATGGACTTCTTGGAACACACCAAGCTCATTCTCACATTAGGGTCATCCCCAATGTCCTAAGTCCATGAAAGTTCCTTTCAACACACTCCCCAGGGCTCACTCCCTCTTGTCTCTAAGATCGGAGTTTAAATGTGATCTCTCTGATGAGGTCTCAGTGAGACGTTCCCTCCTGTACACTCCAAATGACAACGTTCCACGTTCATTCATTTCATTCTGTGCATGGCACTTTCACCAAGTGCTAAGGATTCACTCACTAATTCATACATTCATTCATTCATTCATTCACTCATTCCATCATTCACTCATTCATTCATTCTCTCATTCATTCATTCATGTTCTGCCTCTCTCTCCCACCCCACAGCAATGTGAGCATCATGAACCCAGGAGCTTGGCCGTGCTGTCTACTCCTGGCCGTGAAACAGAGAGAACTGATGGTAGGTGTGAAATAAATATTAGATGAATGAGTTAGTGAAGGGGTCATTTACTGGGTGAGCTCAGTTCTCTCTACTCTAATGCCCTCCCTCGGCTGACTTCCCTGAGTTGCCCCCTCGGCTGAGTGAAGTCCCTTCACTGGCAAATGGAACCTCAACCAGTAGCACCTAGGTGGTCTCATACTTTGTTCTTTCCCTCTCCTCTTGCTCCCTAAGGATTATCAATCTCCATGACAGGGCTGGAGAGCAGACAAGCCACACATTCTTTCTGGGGAGAGAGTAACATGGAGTACAAGGCATTCCACATTTAGGAAGAGAACTCAGTTATGGAAGGTCAGAAATGAAAAGTTCCTACAGACCAACACCCAGGTTGGTGGCCACAGCCCTAAATGCTGATGGAGAATCACTGCAAGTCTGTAGGGAAGATGTCTGGCTTGAGGCCACTGAGCGAAGTGGCAGATCCTTCTCAGCCTTCAGTGCTGAGCCTCTGTCCCCTCAGGGATCCACTGACCAATGAGAAGAGCCTCTTCTCATCTCCTGGGATGGAGCTTGGGGCCCCTGGCGAAGGAATGGGCCTGTTTCCACCTGTCATGTTGTCATCTAGCTTGGAAATCCTGCGAGTCCCAGGGAGGCCCTCCCCGAGTCCCCAGAGAAGACTCCCCCACTGAGTCTCCAAGGTGTGGAGAGAGCAAAAAACATCTAGGGTGGAAAATGCCTCCCATCAAGAGACATTGGGGCTCCCCCAACGATGGTTGCATCTGTGCCCCCCATGTGGAAATCACTCTTTGGTGAGAGGTGGGGGCTTCTGGAAATGGGCAATGGCGGGCGGCCAATGCTACCTCTAGTCTTTCCAATCTGAGCCCGGCCTTTCATGCTCCTGAGTCAGCATTGATGCTGTTTACATGTGTCCCAGGTGGGCTTCTGTACAAAGACTGGGAAGTGGTTTATGTGGCCTGTGCTCTATCTGCAAGCTTCAGGTAGGGTTGCAGTTACCACCCCAAACCCTAATGTGATCTGTCTGCCTCGCTCTGTCTGTCTGTCTATGCCTCTTTCTGTATGTTTGCTTTGTGTCTCTTCTGTCCAGCATCTCTGGCTGACACCCCCATGGCCACCCCCTCCATCTGAGGCTCCCCTGAATGTGGCCATTGTAGTCCATCTGAGTCCCACTATTTGGGGAACAGACTGGTTTCCTCACCTGTGACAGAAACAAGCAGTGGGTCACTAAGGTCTGACCACTCGTAGGGAGAGTCACGGAAAGAGCCGAAGCATCTGTAGGTCCCTCCGTGGGTGGCAGGGCCCAGAGGAAAGTTGGCCTGGAAGGTTCCATTGACCTTGGGCACTGCAGGGAACCTAAGTTCATGAGCCTCCCCCTCCCTTGATAGATGGTAGATGTCATAGGAGCTCCGGGAGCTGCAGGACAAGGTCACGCTCTCTCCTGCCTTAACCATGGGGCGCGGCTGGGCTGAGAGAGAAGGTTTCCCACATAGACCTGGAAGGAGAAGAGGCAGTTTCCTCAGGGAGGTTCTTCCTTGTCACAACTCCCCTCCCACCTGAGCTGAGAACTCACTCCCCTGCTCTATGGCCTAATGCTCTCTCTCTCTGTCTCACCCTCCACACCATCTCTCTTTATGTCTATTTCCTCTTTCCACCTTCTCTGTCTCTCTAGGTCTCTGACCTCACTTTCTCACCTCTAGATATGTTTTCCCTTTTTGGATTGTTTTATTCTCTCTGACTCTCCTTGGACTAGTTGACTTGATGTTACTTTTTTTAAATTCTGAGTTTCTCACTTTGTGTCCTGTTCATAACTTTCTGCATATTTCTATCTATTATCTATCGATATATCTATTTATCTATTTGGTGCCTATCTACAAATTCTCTACCTGTCATCTATATCTATATATAATCTATTTATCTATCAATTGTCTATCCAAAAATCATCTATTATCTATATCTATGTATCGTCTCTCTCTCTCTATGATTTCTCTTTGTCTGCCTCTCTATCTCTATGTATTATCTATCTATCTTCATCTTCATCATCTCTATGTATCATCGATTAATCAATGAATGAATCAATCATCATCTATGTATCTATAACCTATTATCTATCATCTACCTATTTATCATCTATCTATATCTATCCATCTATCATCTGTCTTGCTCTGCCTCTCGGTCTCTCTAGTTCTCTTTGGAATCTCTGCAATTCATCCCCACATCTCCATCTTTCTATGTCCTTGTGTCTCTCCCTCAGGACTCTAATTTTAGTGCTTTTCTCTGTTCCCTTCCATTGTTCTCTCCACTTCTCTGCCCTCTTTTCTCCCTCTTTATGTGTCTGTGAGTCTCTCAATCTCCTTCCTCTGGCTCATTCTCTGTGTGTTTATGTCTTTGCTTTTTGGTGTCCCTGATTTCTCTCTGTGTCTCTCAGTGATCCTCTCATATGTGGGGTTATTTGGAATGTGAGCCTCAGAATCCAGTCTGGGGACCGCAAGTTCACACAGTATACAGGGGTTGATGTTCTGGGGCCATGATATCCTGGGACGATTACTCTCCATTGCATGGAAGGCAGAGGTGTCAGAATAAACACGGCATCTGTAGGTGCCAGAAGGCCTGAGGCCACAGGGCCCAACTCAGGCCAGAAATATGGGTGTCCTTGGGTTCTTCTGGTAGAGAACACTTTGTGGAAGTAAAACAGAAATGAAACTTCTAACCTGTGCCAGGTCTCTGAGCAAAGTCAGCATGGAAGGACACCTCTCTCTGGCACATGTCTGTCTGTGTCTCCTTTAACTCTTTCTGTCTTTTCTAACTCCCTGTATGGCCCCTGTGTCTGTCCTCTGTTATGACACCTGGTCTGTACTTGTGTCTCCTGTTTCTCTGTCTCTGTTGGTACAGACCTCACCAAGTTAGTCTCTCTCCATAAGAATACCAAGCTCATCTTCCTTATAACCACCTGGGCCTCCAAGTCGTGGATCATTCACTCTGTGTCCCAGTGACAATGAGAATAATGTCCAGACACTCTCACCTGTAATCACGATGTCCAGAGGGTCACTGGGAGCTGACAACTGATAGGGGGAATGAGGAACAGAACCGTAGCATCTGTAGGTCCCTGCAAGGTCTTGCGTCATGCGACCGATGGAGAAGTTGGCCTTGGAGACCCCATCATGGAGCTCTCCAGTGAGGCGCAAAGTGTCATTAAACTTCCCCTCTCTGTGCAGAAGGAAGTGCTCAAACATGACATCTGACCAACATTGCAGGATGACTGTCTCTTCTGATTTCACCAGGGGACCTGGGTGGGCCAGGAGGGAAGGTTTTCTGTGGACTCCTAGGAAGAGAGGTTGTGACTTTAGAAGGCATCTCTCTTTATCATCCCATCCATGGCACCTAGAATGAGTGAGGCTTCCCCTCGCTGGTGTCTTATCTCTCTCCTTCCTCTCTGTGTCTTCATGTTCTTTTCTGTGCCCATAACTCCTGGTACAGGTCCTTCCATCTGTCTCCCTCCCTCTTCTCTGTCCCTCTGTCTCTAGTAGCTCCTGATTCCCTTGCCGCTGGGCTCAGCCTCATCTCTTGGGCTGTTGTATCTATTTCGAACTAATGTCTTTCCTGCTTCTATGTGGGGGTGGAAGAGGAACCAGGATAGGCTGCACGTCCAGGCTCTTAGCAGACTGGTTCAATCTCTTTTGGACGAATTGGAATCCTTGGCAGAAGGTATGAACTGATCAGTAAGGCAGGCACCAGTGTCCACACACCCTGTTCCTGGTGGGGACTGGGAGCCACTCTTGCCATGCCTGTGCCTTCTCCATGGTGCCAGCTTCCATAGGCTGGCTTCTGGTGCTGGTTTGAGGAGTATCAACCCCTCCCTATGTGGATGGAGCCTGGTGGTGGCATCATCATCCCACCCTTGCTGATCTCGGTGTAGCCAACCTTCTCTTTGTTTGGTTTCTTTAATTAATTAATTAATTTTGGAGTCAGAGTCTCACTCCTTCACCCAGGCTGGAGTGAAGTGGTGTGGTCTAGGCTCACTGCAACCTCTGTCTCCTGGGTTCAAGTGATTCTCCTGCCCTCAGCCTCCTGAGTTGCTAGGATTACATGCACCTGCCACCACGCCCGGCTATCCTTGTGTCCTTTCTTATCTTGTCCTTGACCTGGGTTCCAGTGTTGGTTTCCTGTTGGTGCTGTGGAAAATTATCAGAAGCATGGCAGCAGGAGAGAGCACACTGACCCCTTCCGTTTCTGGAGACAGAAATCGGACCCTGTTTTTTGAGGGCTAAAATCAAGGCATCTGCAGGGCTGCGTTCCCTCTGGAGACCCAGGAGAATCAGTTCCTTGACTTTTCCAGCCTCTATAGGCCACCTGCATTCATGGCTCATGGCCTTCCTCCACCTTCAAAGCTGATGGAGACTTCCATTGCACTGCTCTAATCGCCACTCCCCTCTTCCTTCTCCTCTCATGTGCACCCTTGTGATTACACTGAGCCCAGCAGGACAGTCCAGGCTGTCTCCCCATCTCAAGGTCAACTCAACAACCTGAGCTCCATCTTCCCCTTCAGTGCCTTCCCCTATAACATAAATAGTCACAGACTGCAGGGATTAGAATGCAGTCATCATTGGGGACAATTATTCTTTCCACCACAGCACCCATTTCCCTGTATTCAATCCCCTTTTACCCCAAATACAGTTAGGGTCTGGATGATGGGACGCTGGTGGACACTCCCACCAGAAGCTCTGGGACTCAGGAGGTGGGACAAGGAGAATCCCAGACAGGAGCCCTCTGACCTGTGACCATGATCACCAGGGGGTTGCTGGGTGCTGACCACCCAGTGAGGAAGTGTGGGTGTGAACCCCGACATCTGTAGGTCCCTGCATGTGCTGGGGTCACAGGGCCTATGAAAACGGTGTTTCGGAATACTCTGTTGTAGAGCTCAGGGACAGGCATCCCGTCTTCTTTGGACAGACTGAATTCGTTAAACCCAAGACGAGAGCGACACTGAAGAGCCACATGTTCTCCTTCAGACACCACAGGGCTGGGCCAGGCAGAGAGGAAGGGCTTGTCCTGACCACCTGGGGGAGAAGGAGGCGCCACCTTAGAGAGGAGGATGTGGCACTCCCTCCCTCTATTCCTTTCCAGGACTCACCAACACACGCCATGCTGACGACCATGAGCGACATGGTGCTGCCGGTGCAGACAGGCGGCCGCGCCCCAGCTCAGCTCAGCAGCGCACAGGATGTTATTTGGCGCCCTGCCCATGCAGCTTACATGTTGACTACATCATGGGAGGGTGACGTACGCAGGCTCTTTCTACCTTGCATGAGGCCCAGTGGATGCTTGCTCAAGAGCGGAACACGGCTTCCTGGAAATTGTTCTCACTAGAATTGGCACCTCACGTCCTTCACTATGACCAACTCACAACACGTCTCAGATCCAACCTCCCGAACACAAGATGCCTAAAATCTGTGCTAACGTGAAAGACTTTTCATGTATTTTTATCCGAACACGAGATGCCTAAAATCTGTGCTAACATGAAAGACTTTTCATGTATTTTTTTTGTTTTTATCTGAGATTCAAACTCTTCTTCCTGTGTAATATGCAAAGTATCTAATAGGTATTATTAATGTTTTCGGAGTCATTGTGACTAATAAACCATTAGAATTTTTCATGCTTGTATTTCTAGTATTACAGCAGAACCAGCTAAAATGATTTAAATTCCCAGGGAAGGATTATGCAATTATTTACAATCTTAGAATTGTACTTTATCAGCAAAAACCACACCTGTAAATTCTGGAGTTTTGTAGTTTAATCTAAAATTTGTCTCATGACCCAAGATTCCAGAGTCCCAACTCTGGAGTTTGCTCTCTGTCTGTCTCTCTCCCTCCCTCGTTTTAAATTTTACAGAAATATCCAGTAACATAATGCTATAGAAAATCAAGTTTTCCCCAGCACGTTGGGAAGCCGAGGTGGGCGGATCAACTGAGATAAGGAGTTTGAGAGCAGCCTGGCCAATATAGTGAAACCGTGTCTCTGTTAAAAATCCAAAAATTAGCCGTGCCTGGTGGCAGGCACCTGTAACGCCAGCTACTCAAGAGGCTGAGGCACGAGAATCGCTTGAACCTGGGAGGCGGAGGTTGCAGTGAGCTGAGATTGTGCCACTGCAGTCCAGCCTGGGCGACAGAGCAAGACTCCGCCTCAAGAAAAAAAAAGCAAACAGCCTATAATAACAAATTAGAGGGCTCTGGCTACTAAATTTAAAGGGTTCTATAAGGCTACATAAAGTGCAGCATCATCAAGAGTGTGGACACAGAGAGCCCCTTAGCAGAAACAGTGTCTAAAATACATCCATGTACACACAGTCCCTTTAGAGTTGACAAAGGCTGCCGTGTGGTTTAAGGTGGCATAGAATGTCTTCTCAATAAATAATATTAAACCAATTGGTTACACCTAGGAAAAAATAAATCTAACTCACACTATAAAAACACTTCTTAGTTTTTATCTAGTTGTACATTTTTTATGATTTATATTTAAATTTGAGAAATAAAAGTCATATACGGTCATCCTTCACTATTCGTGGGTGATTGGTTTTGAGATCTCCACTCAGATACCAAAATCTGTAGATGCTCAAGCCTCTTATATGAAATGGCACAGCGTTTGCAAATAACCTATGCACATCCTCCTGTATACATGAAATCATCTCTAGATTACTTATAATTCCTGATACAGCCTACACACAGCTTCATTTGTGTCCATTCAACATAGTTATGCTTTTTGAAACTCTGTGGATACTTTCTCTCAATATTTTTGATTTATACTTGGTTCAATAAACACCTGTAAACCCCGCAGATATGGAGGAGTGACCGTATATTTATATTATGAAAGATGATGTGTTGATATGTGTCCCCATGGAGATGAGACTAACAAGGCCTATGATTCTACAAATGTTTCATTGTGGAATGACTCTGCCAGCTTTCCAGGTCTGCAGAGAGTAAGAGTATCACTTGTTCATATGATTCGTGATCCTTGGAACCTCCTATGTGCTACATCTTTGGATGGAAATTGGAGTCCCAGAGACAAATGAGGCTCCACCCTGCTTCCAGAAACTCAGAGTCCGGGGATGAGAACTCAGTGGGGAACAGATGGGATTATATGGACATGGTACTGATAACACCGGAAGCCTTAGGCAAGAAAAGAGTCCCATTACCGAAACCATGGGGGCAGACATGTTTATTTGAAGGATGGAAAACTACATTGAAGTTATTTTAAAAAATATATAAGTTTTACTGCTGACAGAAGACTGAAAGCTAGTCTGAGGGGAGGTGGAACAGCATGAGGGAAGGTGGAACAACACGTGTCTAAGTGCTGCGTTAAGAGGGAGCCTCTTGTATGTTTGGAATTGTGAGTTCCTCAGTGTGATTGCAGCCTCAAGTAGACTAGGAAGTAAGCCAGTTAGGTTGGAGAGGTGGGCAGGGGTCAAGTGAAATGGAGAACTGTGGGTTAAGCAAAGGAGTGTGTTTTTTCTCCAGCAGGCAGTGGGGACCTTAGACATTTGTAAGCAAGAGAGAGGCACATTCAGATTTGTGGTGTGAGGAAGATCGATGCCCTAAGATGCAGACTCACGCCTTCAGATTCCAGCTGCTGGTACATGGGAGCTGGCAACCCGGTTTTGAGACAGGGCTGTTGTCTCCCTAGAAGACGCCCTCAAGGCCTGACTGTGGTGCTCATGGGCAGGAGACAACTTTGGATCTGGACTCAGCATTTGGAAGTTCCGTGTACACGATGATATCTGTTGGGGGTGTCTTGGGCCTCTGAGAAGGGCGAGTGATTTTTCTCTGTGTGAAAACGCAGTGATTCAACTGTGTGTATGTCACCTCCTGAGGGTCTTGTTCATCAGAGTCCTGGAGAGAGGGAAATGCTGAGTGAGGGAGGGTGCTCACATTTTCCAGGACTCTTTGGGAATAACAGTAGCCACGAGCCCGGGCCGAGGAGTACCTACCTCGCTATTCGCTGTTCTGTTTCCTGCAGACTCTTGGTCCATTACCGCAGCATCTGTAGAAGATGGAAGTCAACAAAACAGCTCGGAGGGCACTTCTGGGTCCTCATTTCATAAGCAGA
Organism: Homo sapiens; assembly: GCF_000001405.40. Taxonomy (NCBI): domain Eukaryota; kingdom Metazoa; phylum Chordata; class Mammalia; order Primates; family Hominidae; genus Homo; species Homo sapiens. The sequence continues at coordinate 85,659 of NT_187673.1, forward strand.
TACCAACATACAGGGGGAGACCATAGGTGGCTGAGGTCCCTCAGTTGCCAACAGCAGACTCAGACATTCTATCTCTCTGAGCTCAAGGACCCATCCCATGAATAGCTCTGAGTTCCCATCCCATTGATTCTGTCTCCCACTTTCTGCCTGTCATGGAACCTTCTCCTGGATGTGAGTGGCTGCAGGGGACATGGGGATACAGTTCAGAATCAGGCAACGGTCTGTGAGTTGAAGGCAGGGACAGGGAGTCTGGTGCCCTCTCTAGAAAGTCCTGCCTCTGTGGCTGCTGCCTTGGGCCAGGGACCATCCTGTTTGTGAGGAACACACACCTGAGTGCTCCCATCCTGCTTCCCCACATGGCCCTGAGCTCTCTGGCCTCTGCTTCGTGAGACTTACTTTTTTTGTTGGAGCACCAGCGATGAAGGAGAAAGAAGAGGAGGATGAAGAGGATGATGACCACTGAGGTCCCAATCAGAATGTGCAGGTGTCGGGGGTTACCTGGAAGAAGATGAGACACCAATAAGAAGCTAATCTTAGCAGTTCCTCTTTATGAATTGTCTCGCATTTCTTGATTGACAGGTAACCACATAAAACACCTCTTTAGGACAAGCACCCAGATGGCAGGAGACCCAGCTTTCTCCTGCTTTTTCTGTTATAGCTCTCATAGTAACCATAGAACGTGCTGAGGATACGACTACTTTAGTTGAGATGTTTGACCCCTTCAAACCTCACATTGAAATTTCACCCCCACTGTGGGAGGTTGGGCCTCTTGAGAGGTGTTTGGGTCATGGAGGTGGATCCATCATGAACACATCAATGCTGTCCCAAGGAGACGGGGTTAGCAAGTTCCCCCTCTATTAGTTCCCGGAGAGCTGGTTGTTAAAAAGAGCTTGGAAGCTCCATCACTCCCCCTCCCCCTTGCTCCCTCTCTTGCCGTGTGATCTCTGTGGTCTCTGCACAGACAGACCCTCCTTCCCTTCTGCCAGAGTGGGAGCAGCCTGAGGCCGTCACGAGAAATAGATGCTGGTGCCATGCTTCCAGTACAGCCTGCAGAACGGTGAGGCAAACCAATCTCTTTTCTTTAGAAGTTACCGAGGCTCAAGTGTTCCTTTAGAGCAACAAAAATGGCCTAAGACAGCAACTTCCTGAGATCAGGAGGAACGTCTCAGAACACCCTGGGCTGTCTTCCTGTTCTTCCTGGAGGACGTCATGCAGTGCTTTAGCTGAGTGCTTCCTGTGGCTCCAGGGTACAAAACCCAGGCTGGGCTGCTTTCTGGCTTCCCGCAGCTACACTGCAAATGGGGTGACTCCATATGTCCCGAGGAGCTTTTCTGAGCCTTGAGGGACTGGGTCACATTGAAATATAGGTTTCTGTTGTCACTCGCTGCTTATCTGTTAGTAATGAACCTGCCTATGTAACGTATTCTCTGTGTGTTCTGTCTCCCTGGAGTGACGGTGAGTGATAGGAATTGGCATAGGCCCAGGTGCAGTCCAGGAGGTGTTTAGAGTCTTCTCTGGGAAGACTGGACTGGGATTGATTCACAGCGAATGTGCTTTAGGGTTTCTACATCCACAGCATTCTTGAATCAAACAACTTGCATTCTCCAAGGAAAGAAAACAAAAGTGAAATCAAGATAAAAAAAGCGAAATAGAATTCTCTTATGTCAAACGGCCAGGAAATAGTGTTGAAGCCCGTGTGAAACCTGCTGCTCTTTGTGATCTCGGGAGACACATATTAGGCTGCTGTTCTACCCGAGAGGCTGGGGGAAGGACCACCCCCTCGGCCATCTATTGCTTCAAAACCACCTGTCCTCCTGTGAATTAGTAGGAAAGGGGAGCAGGAGCTAGTGCTGTCGCTGATCTCTGATTCCAAGATCTGGACTCACTTCAAGGAGTGTTAATGTTTACCTCCCCATGGTCTATCTGAATCTCCACAGGTGATTGGAAGTAGGGGTGAGGTGGGGGATTTGGGTGAGTGGGCAAGTTTTTTTTGTGATGACCAGAGCACTTTCTCTATTCCAGGATCTGTGCTGGAGGATTCAGCGGGCTTTCACATTTTCTATATGATCTCATGCTCACAGAAAGCCAAATAGGGAAGAGGTTTTAGGCTCATTGCCTAATGGATAAGATAAAGGATCAAAGAAGTAATTATAGAGAAATAGAAAAACGATGATTGGAATTCAGGTGCCTTTGTCATTCGTGTGTGTTTTATTATATTTATGTATTTCTTATTTTTATTTTTTGAGATAGAGTCTCCTTGTGTCCCCCAGGCTGGAGTGCAGTGATGCAATCTCCACTCACTGCAACCTCCACCTACTGGGTTGAAGTCATTCTCCTGCTTCATCCTCCAGAATAGGAGCTGGGATTACAGGGATGCACCATCGTGCTCGGCTAATTTTTGTATTTTTAGTAGAGATAGGGTTTCACCACGTTGGCCAGGCTGGTCTGGAACTCCTGACTTCATGGAATCCACCCACCTTGGCCTCCTGCAGTGCTAGGTTACAGGCGTGAGCCACTGTTCACAGACTTGTATATTATGCTATAATAAGTCTCTTCATTTCCACCACCACTCATATATCTGTCACTCCTTTGCCAGGTATTGATTTATGTGTAGGATGAATAAATCTCAGAAAGAAATTAATTAAGCGAGGATTAAACAAGTAGGAAAATCAAACCCAGTAAGCCTTTCCAGTCAATGATTCTACCTCACAAACATATCTTATATCCATCTACTTCATTCATTTAGTGTCTAAATCAGCACCACATTTCACCAGTGGGGCGGCAATTGCCTTTTCCACGGTCTCCTAGATTCCAGTTATGCACCTGGGCCTCCCTTATTTTCATGTCAGTCATATTAATCATGTAGGGATTCCTGGTTACCCCGAGGTGAATCCAATGGCTGTGAGTGTCAAACACACACTCCTTGTTGCTCCTTAGTTTCCTGTGTACCCAGTGTGCTCTCCGTCTCTCTACAGTCGTCTTGTCATTCTCCCCACCTCATTCCCAGCATTTGAGTCAGAGCCTCTTCCTTCCACATCAGATTGTTTTCACCTTTGTGCCTTCATGGCTGACAGCTGTGTGTGCAAAATCCTTCCGCCAATCTTTCAGGGGTTCATTCCGTGTTTTTCATTAATGTCACAAATATCTGAATAGTGAGACCTTCTTTGTCACCTGAAATCATACACTCAGCATTATCTATTATTGATTTTGAATTCTGGCTGGGCACAGTGGCTCACGCCTGTAGTCCCATTACTTTGGCATGCTGAGACGGTCGGATCACTTGAGGTTGGGAGTTTCAGACAAGCTTGGCCAACGTGGTGAAACATCCTCTCTACAAAAAATATACAAAAAGAATTAGCCGGGCACGGTGGCAGTTGCCTGTAATCCCAGCTACTCGAGAGGCGGAGGCAGGAGAATCACTTGAATCCAGGAGACGCAGGTTGCAGTGAGCCAAGATCGTGACACTGCACTGTAGCCTGGAAGACAGAGGGCGACTCTGTCTCAATAAACAAAAGAACAAACAAAAAATAGATTTCATGCACAGATGCTTCCCAATGGACCATTCATTTATAGATCCACTTGTGCGTTCATTTTCTGCCCTCCCATTTAACCATCTGCAATATCAGTGTCCCAAGGGCAGAGGCCAAATGCATCTTGTTCACTGTTTGTGGAAGGCAGGAGAATGCTGTCCCACCCCAAAATGTCCCTGTCCTAGCCTCCATAGCTTGTGAATATGTTATTTTACATGGAAAGGAGGAATGAAGATTGCAGATGGAATTATGGTTGCTAATCAGCTGAACTTAAAACAAGGGTATCCTGGATGATTTCCAGGAGATTATGAGGGATTTTCATCTTGGTGAACCCAATAGAATCCCCAAGTTTTCAAAAGATGAGGAAGAAGGGAGAGCAGCACTCAGAGAAAGAGGTGTGGTAAGGAAGAAGGCACTGAGTGATGCCATGTGAGATGTGACCAGTCTTTGTGGGCTTTGAGGAAGGAGGAAGGGGACCAGGAGCCAAGGAACTGGGAGCCTTTAGAAGCTGGGACAAGTGAGAAGCAGATTCGTGCCTGGAATCCTCAGAGGGAAGGCAGCCTTGCTGTCACCTTGATTTTAGCCCAGTAAGATGCACTTCCTACTTTGAGCTACAGCACTGTAAGATAATTAAAAAACCGTTTTGTTTTCACCCACGAATCTTGTGGAAATTTGTTATGGCAACAATAGGAAAAGGTTCCACACTGCACAGCCTGAGCATGGGGCCGTGGCTGAATGAGTCAGTGAGTCGAAGTGTGCGTGCATGAGCTCTGTTCTCTGTTACGGCAAGGCTCTTTCTCTGCGGAGTCAGCCAGGGTTGCTTCATGACCTACAGGAGCTCATTCCTTGGCAAGTGGAACTTCTCTAAAACACCTTGCCCTCATCAGATGTTCCCTTCCCTTCCCTCTCTCAAGTCTCCAGGAATTTATCCTCCAGTTAGGAATGCAGGTAGAACAAACATTGCATTTTTCCTGAGAAGGATGTCAGATTGGCAATCATTCTTCTAGCTTGTAGGAGGTCTCAGCTCCATAAAATGAGAGATGAAGAGATTTCACTGAGCCCTGTGTTGGGCCCAGATCCCTTTCGCTGTAGGAGTATCTGGAGTTCGGAGATGGTGGAAGACAAGTGTACAATGTCAGAGCTGTGAGATGCTGAGTCAACGCCTGAATCCAAGGTTCCCACCTCCCCAGGGTTCCAAAAGCGGATATAAGAGGGTTCTGTACTCACCGGTTTTGGAGCTTGGTTCAGTGGGTGAAGGCCAACTATTTGAAGGGTTTCCTAGAACATGAGACAGGAGAGAGGTGAGGAAATGAGGGTGTCTGTCCTCCACTCAGTGGAAATCTTTGAGGATGGTTCATGGCCAACACTCTCTTATCTAATATTGAGCCCTGGGAGTCCTGGGATCCTTTTTTCCATAATTTTTTTATATGACACCCACTGTCTTGAGACTTCAAGATATAAAGAGAAAACAGGAGCATCACACTACCTGATCTCAAAATATGTTACAGAGCTGTAGTAAGCAAAATAGCATGACATTGGCATAAAGAAAGGCACATAGAACAACGGAGCAGAATGAATAACACAGATATATTCCATGCATTTACATCCAATGGTTTTTTATTTTTTCTTTTGAGATGGAGTCTTGCTCTGTCACTCAGGCTGGAGTGCAGAGGTGCAATCTCGGTTCACTGCAACCTCAGCCTCCTGGGTTCAATCATTCTCTTGCCTCAAATTCCTGAGTAGTGGTATTACAGGTGCTGACCACCATGCTCAGCTAATTTTTATATTTTTAGTGGAGACGATGTTTCATCACGTTGGCCAGACTAATCTTGAACTCCTGGCCTCAGGTGATCCACCCACCTCGGGCTCCCAAAGTGCTGAAATTGCAGGTGTTAGCCACCAAGCCCAGCCCATCCAATGGACTTTGACAAAGATGCCAAGAACTCACAATCAGGAAAGGACAGTCTTTTCAATAAACAGTGCAGGGAAACCTGGACATCTACATGCAGAGGAATGAAACTGCAACTCTACCTGTCACCATACACAAAAATCAAATGAAAATGGATTAAAGATGTGAGTCTAAGGCCTGAACCTATGAAACACGTAGAACAAAATATTGGGGAAATGCTCCAGGACGTTTGTCTGAAGGAAGACATTTTGTTTTAAACCTTCAAAACACAAGTAATCGAAGCAAAAATAGACCATTGGGATTACCTCAAACTAAGCAACTTCAGCACTGCTAAAAATAAACCAACAAAGTGAAGAGACAACCCACAGATTGGGAGCAAATATGTGCAAACTATGCATCTGAGATGGGATTAATAACTAGAAATATAAGAAGCTCAAACAACTCAATAAAACAAATGATTTAATTGAAAAAGGAGCAAAAGACATGAAATTTCCCCACATACGAAAAAGTGCTCAGTATCACTCATCATCAGAGAAACGCAAATTAAAATCAAAGTGAGTTTTCATCTCACCCCATTAAAATGGCTTTTAGGCCGGGTGAGGTGGCTCACTTGTGTCATCCTAGAACTTTGAGAACCTGAGGTGGGTGAATCTCATAAGGTTGGGAGTTTGAGACCAGTCTGACCCACATAGAGAAACGCTGTCTCTACTAAAAATACAAAAATTAGTAGGGCGTGGTGGCGTGTGCCTGTAATTCCAGCTACTCGGGAGGCTGAGGCAGGAGAATCGCTTGAACCTGGGAGGTGGAGGTTGTGGTGAGCCGAGATAGCGCCACTGCACTCCAGCCTGGGTGAGAAGAGCAAAACTCCATCTCAAAATAAAATGAAATAAAATAAAATGGCTTTTAGCTGCAAGACAGGCAAAAGAAATGCTGGCAAGGTGGTAGAGAAAGGAGAACCCTGGTACCCTGTTGGGAGGAGTGTAAATTAGTACAGCCATTACGGAGAAAAGTATGGAAGTCCTTTAAAGAACTAAAAAGAGGTTGGGTGAGGTGGATCATGCCTGTAATCCCGGCACTTTGGGAGACTGAGGCGGGCACCTCAGTTGAGGTCATGAGTTTGAGAGCAGCCCAGCCAACATGGGGAAACCGCATCTATACTAAAAAAACCAAAAAGTAGCCAGGCATGGTGGTGTGCACCTGTAATCCCAGCTACTAGGGAGGCTGAGGCAGGAAAATCATTTGAACCCAGGAGGCGGAGGTTGCAATGAGCCAAGGTTGCACCACTTTGACTCCAGCTTGGGCTAAGGAGGGAAACTCTTTCTCAAAAAAGAAAAAAAAAAAAAAAAGAGAACTTTCATAGTATCCAGCAATTTCACTACTGGGTTTATATCCAAAGGAAAGTAAATCAACATATCGAAGTGATATCTGCACTCGTATGATTGGTGCAGCACTGTTCACAGTAGCCAAGATGAGGAGTCAACCTACCTGCCCATCAGTGGGTGAATGGATAGAGAGAATGTAGTACATACGCACAGTGGAGACTACTCATCCATAGAAAGAATAACATCCTGTCATTTGCAGCCACATGGATGGAACTGGAGGTCATTAAAAAGATTCCCATTTCTCACCCATATACAGGAGCTAAAAGGTGGATCTCATGAAGGTAGAGAGTAGAATGGTGGCTACTGGAGGACAGGAAGAAAAGGGTGGAGGGTAAAAAAAATGTATATATATATATATATAAAAATGTATTTATGACCACTAGACTTTACACTTAAAAATGGTAAATGTGGCTGGGCCTGGTGGCCCATGCCTGTAATCCCAGCACTTTGGGAGGCTGATGCGGGTGGATCACGTGGTCAGGAGTTCGAGACCAGCTCGACCAACATGGTGAAACCACCTCTCTACTAAAAATACAAAAAGTAGCCTGGCGTGGTGGTGCGTGCCTGTAGCACTAGCTACTCAGGTGGCTGAGGCAGGAGAATCGCTTGAACCCAGGAGGCGGAGGTTGCAGTGAGCTGAGATTGTGCCACTGCACTCCATCATAGGGGACAGAGCTAGACTCCACCTCAAAAAAAAATGTTAAAAGTGGTAAGCTATATAGGTATATTTATCCTCAATAAATATTTCTTCAAAGAAAAGTAAAGGGTGTAGGGGTTGCTGGTGATGACATCTCTGTGTGGGTGAGAGGCCAGGATGGGCTTCTGGGAAATGGGTAAGGTTGAGGGGCTGAGGGAACCTCTGATCTCCCCAAACTGAGCCCAGTCTCCCTCCTCTGGGTCTCTCCTGACCGCTTTCTCCATCTGCCTGGGTGCCTGGAGCCCTGGCCGTGGGCCTCCATGCAGGCCATGTAGGAGGGTTTGGAGGTGCCCTGTCGGCCATCCTGTGCCCTGATCCCTCCCTCACACCGAGGCTGCGTCTTCTCTCTGCATCTGTCCATGCTTCTCTCCATCCTCAGCAGGAAGCTCCTCAGCTAAGGCTCTAGGATCATAGGACATGGGACAGCCATGGGCTTTCCTCACCTGTGACAGAAACAAGCAGTGGGTCACTTGACTTTGACCACTCGTATGGAGAGTCATGGAAAGAGCCGAAGCATCTGTAGGTCCCTCCGTGGGTGGCAGGGCCCAGAGGAAAGTCAGCCTGGAATGTTCCGTTGACCTTGGGCCCTGCAGGGAGCCTACGTTCATGGGCCTCCCCTTCCCTGGATAGATGGTACATGTCATAGGAGCTCCGGGAGCTGCAGGACAAGGTCACATTCTCTCCTGCCAGAACCGTGGGGCCCAGCTGGGCTGAGAGAGAAGGTTTCTCATATAGACCTGGAAGGAGAAGAGGCAGTTTCCTCAGGGAGGATCTTCTTTGTCACAGCTCCCTTCACCTGAGCTGAGAACTCACTCCCCTGTTCTATGACCTAATGCTCTCTCTCTCTCTCTCTCACCCTCTACCCCATCGCTCTTCATGTCTATTTCCTCCTTCCACCTTCTCTGTCTCTCTAGGTCTCTGACCTCACTTCCCCACCTCTAGATATGTTTTCTCTTTTTGGATTGTTTTATTCTCTCTGACTCTCCTTGGATTGGTTGACTTGATGTTACTTTTTTTAATTCTGAGTTTCTCACTTTGTGTCCTGTTCATAACTTTCTGCATATTTCTATCTATTATCTATCGATCTATCTATTTATCTATTCGGTGCCTATCTACAAATTCTCTACCTGTCATCTATATCTATATATCATCTATTTATCCATCAATTGTCTATCTATCCATCAATCATCTATTATCTATATCTATGTATCATCTCTCTCTCTCTATGATTTCTCTATGTCTGCCTCTGTATCTCTATGTATTATCTATCTATCTGTCTTCATCATCATCATCTCTATGTCTCATCTATTAATGAATCAATCAATCATCATCTATGTATCTATAACCTATTATCTATCATCTACCTATTTATCATCTATCTATATCTATCCATCTATCATCTGTCTTGCTCTGCCTCTCGGTCTCTCTAGTTCTCTTTGGAATCTCTGCAATTCATCCCCACATCTCCATCTTTCAATGTCCTTGTGCCTCTCCCTCAGGAGTCTAATTTTAGTGCTTTTCTCTGCTCCCTTCCATCATTCTCACCACTCCTCTGCCCTCTTTTCTCTCTCTTTATGTGTCTGTGAGTCTCTCAATCTCCTTCCTCTGGCTCATTCTCTGTGTGTTTATGTCTTTGCTTTTTGGTGTCCCTGATTTCTCTCTGTGCCTCTCACTGATCCTCTCATAAGTGGGCTTATTTGGAATATGAGCCTCAGAATCCAGTCTGGAGACTACAAGTTCACACAGCATACAGGGGTTGGTGTTGTGGGGCCATGATATCCTGGGACGATTACTCTCCATTACATGGAAGGCAGAGGTGTCAGAATAAACATGGCATCTGTAGGTGCCACAAGGCCTGAGGCCACAGGGCCCAACTCAGGTCAGAAATATGGGTGTCCTTGGGTTCTCCTGGTAGAGAACACTTTGTGGAGGTAAAACAGAAATGAAACTTCTAACCTGTGCCAGGTCTCTGAGCAAAGTCAGCATGGAGGGACACCTCTCTCTGGGACATGTCTGTCTGTGTGTCTCCTTTAACTCTTTCTGTCTTTTCTAACTCCCGGTATGGCCCCTGTGTCTGTTCTCTGTTATGACACCTGGTCTCTACTTGTGTCTCCTGTTTCTCTGTCTCTGTTGGCACAGACCTCACCAAGTCAGTCTCTCTCCATAAGAATACCAAGCTCATCTTCCTTACAGCCACCTGGGTCTCCAATTCCTGGATCATTCACTCTGCATCCCAATGACAATGAGAAGAAAGTCTGGACACTCTCACCTATGATCACGATGTCCAGAGGGTCACTGGGAGCTGACACCTGATAGGGGGAGTGAGTAACAGAACCGTAGCATCTGTAGGTCCCTGCCAGGTCTTGCGTCATGCGACTGATGGAGAAGTTGGCCTTGGAGACCCCATCATGGTGTTCTCCAATGAGGCGCAAAGTGTCGTTAAACATCCCCTCTCTGTGCAGAAGGAAGTGTTCAAACATGACATCTGACCAACACTGCAGGATGACTGTCTCTTCTGATTTCACCAGGCGACCTGGGTGGGCCAGGAGGGAAGGTTTTCTGTGGACTCCTAGGAAGAGAGGTTGTGAGTTTAGAAGGTGTCTCTCTTTATCATCCCATCCATGGCACCTGGATTGAGTCAGGCTTCCCCTTCCTGGTGTCTTATCTCTCTCCTTCCTCTCTGTGTCTTCATGTTCTTTTCTGTGCCCATAACTCCTGGTGCAGGTCCTTCCATCTGTCTCCCTCACTCTTCTCTGTCCCTCTGTCTCTAGTAGCCTCTGATTCCCTTGCCGCTGGGCTCAGCCTCATCTCTTGGGCTGTTGTATCTATTTCGAACTAATGTCTTTCCTGCTGTCTATGTGGGGGTGGAAGAGGAACCAGGATAGGCTGCACATCCAGGCTCTTAGCAGCCTGGTTCAATCTCTTTTGGACGAATTGGAATCCTTGGCAGGAGGTATGAACTGATCAGTAAGGCAGGCACCAGTGGCCACACACCCTGTTCCTGGTAGGGACTGGGAGCCACTCTTGCCATGCCAGTGCCAGCTTCCATAGGCTGGCTCCTGGTGCTGGTTGGAGGAGTATCAACCCCTCCCTATGTGGATGGAGCCTGGTGGTGGCATCATCATCTGAGCCTTGCTGATCTCAGTGTAGCCAACCTTCTCCTTGTTTGGTTTCTTTAATTAATTAATTAATTTTGGCGACAGAGTCTCACTCCTTTGCCCAGGCTGGAGTGAAGTGGTGTGGTCTAGGCTCACTGCAACCTCTGTCTCCTGGGTTCAAGTGATTCTCCTGCCCTCAGCCTCCCAAGTCGCTAGGATTACATGCACCTGCCACCATGCCTGGCTATCCTTGTGTTGTTTCTTAACTTGTCCTTGACCTGGGTTCCAGTGTTGGTTTCCTGTTGCTGCTGTAGAAAATTATCAGAAGCATGGCACCAGGAGAGAGCACACTAACCCCTTCCAATTCTGGAGACAGAAATCGGACCCTGTTTGTCGTGGGTAAAATCAAGGCACCTGCAGGGCTTCGTTCCCTCTGGAGACTCAGGAGAATCAGTTCCTTGACTTTTCCAGCCTCTATAGGCCACCTGCATTCATGGCTCCTGGACTTCCTCCACCTTCAAAGCTGATGGAGACTCCCATTATGCTGCTGTAATCCCCACTCCCCTCTTCCTCCTCCTTTCATGTGGACCCCTGTGACTACACTGAGCCCATCAGGACAGTCCAGGCTGTCTCCCCATCTCAAGGTCAACTCATCAACAACCTGAGCTCCATCTTCTCCTTCAGTCCCTTCCCCTATATCATAAATAGTCACAGACTCCAGGGATTAGAATGTAGTCATCACTGGGGACAATTATTCTTCCCACCACAGCACCCATTTCCCTGTATTCAATCCCCCTTTACCCCAAATACAGTCAGGACTTGCATGATGGGACCCGCAAGGACACGCCCACCAGGAGCTCTGGGATTCAGGAGGTGGGACAAGGAGAATCCCAGACAGGAGCCCTCTGACCTGTGACCGTGATCTCCAGGGGGTTGCTGGGTGCCGACCACCCACTGGGGTAGTGTGGTTGTGAACCCCGACATGTATAGGTCCCTGCGTGTGCTGGGGTCACAGGGCCCATGAAAAGGCTGTTCCAGAATATTATGTTGTAGAGCTCAGGGACAGGCACCCCATCTTCCTTTTACAGACTGAAGTTGTTAAACCCAAGATAAGAATGACACTGAAGAATCACATGTCCTGGAGGCACCACAGGGCTTGGCCAGGCAGACAGCAAGGGCTTGTCCTGACCACCGTGGGGAGAAGGAGGCACCGCCTTAGAGAGGAGGATGTGGAGCCGCCCCTCCCTCCCTGTGCTCTGAAGATTCTCCTCGCTTTCCAAGTTTCTATGGCTGCTATCACACCTTGGTGCCCAGGGCTAAAGGAAGGACCCATCCCGCAAACACAAGGTGTCTCCCTACAACAAAAGTGTCAGCTGAGAACTTTGAGCAAGTGCTGAGTAAGAGACTCCTACTAGATTTTAATACTGTAAGATTACTCACATAAAACAACACAGGGTAGACATGGGGTGGAGGGCATGTCCTTTGAGAATGGAATATCAGCCGATGCCTGAACGAAAATAAACAACTGAGTCCCCATCAGAGGATTGGAATGTCAGGGCCATGGCTGTGGTTTTCCCACCTCTTCTGGTAGAATGACAGCAGCCACACTGCAGCCCCTACCGTCATGGAAACGCTGAAGTGTGTGAGTAACACCTTTGTCCTCAGAGGATCTGCTGTTCCTACCACTTCCCCACCACACACCCCAGCTTTGAGCACCGTAGTCTAACCCTGGTCCCCACAGAACTTGACTCTGCCAAGGGAATGAAAGGCCAGGGAGGCAAGGTCAGAAATGTGGGCCCAGCACCCCAGGGTCCCTTCTTCCTAGTTTATGAGAGACTCCCTGACAGGACTTCCCTCCCATTTCAGGAAAATCCTCTTATGTGGGGAGATGACACCCGAAGGTTGGGAGAAGGACTCACCCTCATGTGGCCAGGCCCCCTGCAGCAAGAAGAACCCTGGAAAGAAAGATCATGATGGATGACCCATCTGCAGGCAAACCAGGGCACCCTTGCTGCCCCCACTGGGCTGTGAGTCTTGGTAGCCAGGCCCTTCCTGGGCTGAAGGTAAACTCACCCTCAGTGCCTACCTGCACCCAAGAACAGGGCTGTCGGCTGTGCAGAGACCCAGCCTCCAGGTCCATATCCCCACCTCAAGCCCATATCTCCACTCCAGGCCCATATCTCCACTCCAGGCCGATATTTCCACCCTAAGCCCATATCGCCAATCCAGGCCCATATCTCCAATCCAGGCTCAGATCTCCACCCTGGGCCCATATCTCCAATCCAGGCCCTTATCTCCACTCCAGGTCCATATCTCCTCTCCAGTCCCATATCTCCACTCCAGGCCCATATATCCTCTCCAGTCCCATATCTCCACACCCAGGCCCGTATCTCCATCCTAGGCACATATCTCCTCTCCAGGCCCAGATATCGACCTCTAGGCCCATATCTCCACTCCTGGCCCATATCTCCACTCCAGGCCCAGATATCGACCTCTAGGCCCATATCTCCACTCCTGGCCCATATCTCCACTCCAGGCCCATGTCTCCACTTCAGGCCCATATCTCTACTGCAGGCCCATAACTCCACCTCCAGGCCCATGACTCCACTCCAGGCCCATATCTCCACCTCCAGGCCCATATCTCCCCTCCAGGTTCCTATCTCCCCTCCAGGTTCCTATCTCCACTCCAGGCCCAGATCTCCACTACAGTCCCATCACTCCACCTCCAGGCCTATATCTCGACCTCTGGGCCCAGATCTCCACTTCTAGGCCCATCACTCCATCTCTAGGCCCATATATCCACTCCAGGCCCAGATCTCCACTCCAGGCCCATAACTCCACCTCCAGGCCTATATCTCCACCTCTGGGCCCAGATCTCCATCCCCTCACTCCCTCCCTCTATTGCTTTCCAGGACTCACCAACACACGCCATGCTGACGACCAAGAGCGACATGGTGCTGCCGGAGCAGACAGGCAGCCGCGACCGAGCTCAGCTCAGCAGCGCACAGGATGTTATTTGGCGCCCTGCCCATGCAGTTTACATGTTGACCACATCATGGGAGGGTGACGTACGCAGGCTCTTTCTACCTTGCATGAGGCCCAGTGGGTGCTCGCTCAAGAGCGGAACACGGCTTCCTGGAAATTGTTCTCGCTAGAATTTGACACCTAGTGTCCTTCACTATGACCAACTCAAAACACGTCTGAGATCCAACCTCCCGAACACGAGATGCCTAAAATCTGTGCTAACATGAAAGACTTTTCATGTATTTCTATTGTTTTTATCTGAGATTCAAACTCTTCTTCCTGTGTAATATGCAAAATATCTAATAGGTATTATTAATGTTTTCAGAGTCATTGTCACTAATAAACCATTAGAATTTTTCATGCTTGTATTTCTAGTATTACAGCAGAACCAGTTAAAATGATTTAAATTCCCAGGGAAGGATTATGCAATTATTTACAATCTTAGAATTGTACTTTATCAGTAAAAACCCCACCTGTAAATTCTGGAGTTTTGTAGTTTAATCTAAAATTTGTCTCATGACCCAAGATTCCAGAGTCCCAACTCTGGAGTTTGTTTTCCGTCTGTCTCTCTCCCTCCCTCATTTTAAATTTTACAGAAATATCCAGTAACATAATGCTATAGAAAATCAAGTTTCCCCAGCACGTTGGGAAGCCGAGGTGGGCGGATCAACTGAGATAAGGAGTTTGAGAGCAGCCTGGCCAATATAGTGAAACCGTGTCTCTGCTAAAAATCCAAAAATTAGCCGTGCCTGGTGGCAGGCACCTGTAACGCCAGCTACTCAAGAGGCTGAGGCATGAGAATCGCTTGAACCTGGGAGGCAGAAGTTGCAGTGAGCTGAGATTGTGTCACTGCAGTCCAGCCTGGGCGACAGAGCAAGACTCCGCCTCAAGAAAAAAAAGCAAATAGCCTATAATAACAAATTAGAGAGCTCTGGCTACTAAATTTAAAGGGTTCTATAAGGCTACATAAAGTGCAGCATCATCAAGAGTGTGGACACAGAGAGCCCCTTAGCAGAAACAGTGTCTAAAGTACATCCGTGTACACACAGTCCCTTTAGAGTTGACAAAGGCTGCCGTGTGGTTTAAGGTGGCATAGAATGTCTTCTCAATAAATAATATTAAACCAATGGGTTATACCTAGGAAAAAATAAATCTAACTCACACTATAAAAACACTTCTTAGTTTTTATCTAGTTGTACATTTTTTATGATTTATATTTAAATTTGAGAAATAAAAGTCATATACGGTCATCCTTCACTATTCGTGGGTGATTGGTTTCGAGATCTCCACTCAGATACCAAAATCTGTAGATGCTCAAGCCTCTTATATGAAATGGCACAGAGTTTGCAAATAACCTATGCACATCCTCCTGTATACATGAAATCATCTCTAGATTACTTATAATTCCTGATGCAGCCTACACACAGCTTCATTTGTGTCCATTCAACACAGTTCTGCTTTTTGTAACTCTGTGGATACTTTCTCTGAATATTTTTGATTTATACTCGGTTCAATAAAGAACTGTAAACCCCACAGATATGGAGGAGTGACTGTATATTTATAGTGTGAAAGATGATGTGTTGATATGTGTCCCTGTGTAGATGAGACTAACAAGGCCTATGATTCTACAAATGTTTCATCTTGGAATGACTCTGCCAGATTTCCAGGTCTGCAGAGAGTAAGAATATCACTTGTTCATGTGATTCACGATCCTTGGAACCTCCTATGTGCTACATCTTTGGATGGAAATAGGAGTCCCAGAGACAAATGAGGCTCCACCCTGCTTCCAGAAACTCAGAGTCCGGGGGTGAGAACCCAGTGGAGAACAGATGGGGTTATGTGGACATGGTAATGATAATGGAAGTCTTAGGCAAGAAAAGAGTCCCATTACCGAAACCATGAGGGCAGACATGTTTATTTGAAGGAGGGAAAACTACATTGAAATTATTTTAAAAAATATATAAGTTTTACTGCTGACAGAAGGCTGAAAGATACTCTGAGGGGAGGTGGAACAGCATGAGGGAAGGTGGAACAGGACGTGTCTAAGTGCCGTGTTAAGAGGGAGCCTCTTGTATGTTTGGAACTGTGAGTTCCTCAGTGTGATTGCAGCCTCAAGTAGACTAGGAAGTAAGCCAGTAAGGTTGGAGAGGTGGGCAGGGGTCAAGTGAAATGGAGAATTGTGGGCTAAGCAAAGGAGTGTGTTTTCTCTCCAGCAGGCAGTGGGGACCTTAGACATTTGTAAGCAAGAGAGAGGCACATTCAGATTTGTGGTGTGAGGAAGAGCGATGCCCTAAGATGCAGACTCACGCCTTCAGATTCCAGCTGCTGGTACATGGGAGCTGGCAACCCGGTTTTGAGACAGGGCTGTTGTCTCCCTAGAAGATCCCCTCAAGGCCTGACTGTGGTGCTCATGGGCAGGAGACAACTTTGGATCTGGACTCAGCATTTGGAAGTTCCGTGTACACTCTGGTATCTGTTGGGGGTGTCTTGGGCCTCTGAGAAGGGCGAGTGATTTTTCTCTGTGTGAAAACGCAGTGATCCAACTGTACGTATGTCACCTCCTGAGGGTCTTGTTCATCAGAGTCCTGGAGAGAGGGAAATCCTGAGTGAGGGAGGGTGCTCACGTTTTCCAGGACTGTTTGGGAATAACACTAGCCACGAGGCTGGGCCGAGGAGCACCTACCTCGCTATTCGCTGTTCTGTTCCCTGCAGGCTCTTGGTCCATTACAGCAGCATGTGTAGGAGACGGAAGTCAACAAAAGAGCTCGGAGGGCACTTCTGGGTCCTCATTTCATAAGCAGATACCAACAAACAGGGGGAGGCCATAGGTGCCTGAGGTCCCTCAGTTGCCAACAGCAGACTCAGACATTCTATCTCTCTGAGCTCAAGGACCCATCCCATGAATAGCTCTGAGTTCCCATCCCATTGATTCTGTCTCCCACTTTCTGCCTGTCATGGAACCTTCTCCTGGATGTGAGTGGCTGCAGGGGACATGAGGATACAGTTCAGAATCAGGCAACGGTCTGTGAGCTGAAAGCAGGGACAGGGAGTCTGGTGCCCTCTCTAGAAAGTCCTGCCTCTGTGGCTGCTGCCTTGGGCCAGGGACCATCCTACCTGTGAGGAACACACACCTGAGTGCTCCCATCCTGCTTCCCCACATGGCCCTGAGCTCTCTGGCCTCTCCTTCGTGAGACTTACTTTTCTTGTTGGAGCACCAGCGATGAAGGAGAAAGAAGAGGAGGAGGATGAAGAGGATGATGACCACTGAGGTCCCAATCAGAACGTGCAGGTGTCTTGGGTTACCTGGAAGAAGATGAGACACCAATAAGAAGCTAATCATAGCAGTTCCTCTTTATGAATTGTCTCGCATTTCTTGATTGACAGGTAACCACGTAAAACACCTCTTTAGGACAAGCACCCAGATGGCGGGAGACCCAGCTTTCTCCTGCTTTCTCAGTTATAGCTCTCAAAGTAACCATAGAATGTGCTGAGGACACAACTACTTTAGTTGAGATGTTTGACCCCTTCAAACCTCACATTGAAATTTCACCCCCATTGTGGGAGGTTGGGCCTCTTGAGAGGTGTTTGGGTCATGGAGGTGGATCCATCATGAACAGATCAATGCTGTCCCAAGGAGACGGGGTTAGCTAGTTCCCCCTCTATTAGTTCCTGGAGAGCTGGTTGTTCAAAAGAACTTGGAAGCTCCATCGCTCCCCCTCCCCCTTGCTCCCTCTCTTGCCGTGTGATCTCTGTGGTCTCTGCACAGACAGACCCTCCTTCCCTTCTGCCAGAGTGGGAGCAGCCTGAGGCCATCACGAGAAATAGATGCTGGTGCCATGCTTCCAGTACAGCCTGCAGAACGGTG
Source organism: Homo sapiens (assembly GCF_000001405.40). Classification (NCBI taxonomy): domain Eukaryota; kingdom Metazoa; phylum Chordata; class Mammalia; order Primates; family Hominidae; genus Homo; species Homo sapiens. Next base: position 103,164 of record NT_187673.1, read on the forward strand.
AGGCAAACCAATCTCTTTTCTTTAGAAGTTGCCCAGGCTCAAGTGTTCCTTTAGAGCAACAAAAATGGACTAAGACAGCAACGTCCTGAGATCAGGAGGAACGTCCCAGAGCAGCCTGGGCTGTCTTCCTGTTCTTCCTGGAGGAGGACGTCATGCAGTGCTTTAGCTGAGTGCTTCCTGTGGCTCCAGGGTACAAAACCCAGGCTGGGCTGCTTTCTGGCTTCCCCCAGCTACACTGCAAATGGGGTGACTCCATATGTCCCGAGCAGCTTTTCTGAGCCTTGAGGGACTGGCTCACATTGAAATGTAGGCTTCTGTTTTCACTCGCTGCTTATCTGTTAGTAATGAACCTGCCTATGTAACGTATTCTCTGTGTGTTCTGTCTCCCTGGAGTGACGGTGAGTGATAGGAATTGGCGTAGGCCCAGGTGCAGTCTAGGAGGTGTTTAGGGTCTTTTCTGGGAAGACTGCACTGGGATTGACACACAGCGAATGTGCTTTAGGATTTCTACATCCACAGCATTCTTGAGTCAAACAACTTGCGTTCTCCAAGGAAAGGAAACAAAAGTGAAATCAAGATAAAAAAGCGAAATAGAGTTATCTTATGTCCAACAGCCAGGAAATCGTGTTGAAGCCCCTGTGAAACGTCCTACTCTTTGTGATCTCGGGAGACACATGTTAGGCTGCTGTTCTACCTGAGAGGCTGGGGGAAGGACCACCCCCTCCACCATCTATTGCTTCAATACCACCTGTCCTCCTGTGAATTAGTAGGAAAGGGGAGCAGGAGCTAGTGCTGGTGCTGATCTCTCATTCCAAGATCTGGACTCACTCCAAGGAGTATTAATGTTTACCTCCCCATGGTCTATCTGAATCTCCACAGGTGATTGGAAGTAGGGGTGAAGTGGGGGATTTGAGTGAGAGGGCAAGTTTTTTTTGTGATGAACAGAGCACTTTCTCTATTCCACGATCTGTGCTGGAGGATTCAGCAGGCTTTCACATTTTCTATATGGTCTCATGCTCACAGAAAGCCAAATACGGAAGAGGTTTTAGGCTCATTGCCTAATGGATAAGACAAAGGATCAAAGAAGTAATTATAGAGAAATACAAAAATGATGATTGGAATTCAGGTGCCTTTGTCATTCGTGTGTGTTTTATTATATTTATGCATTTCTTATTTTTATTTTTTGAGACGGAGTCTCCTTGTGTCACCCAGGCTGGAGTGCAGTGATGCAATCTCCACTCACTGCAACCTCCACCTCCTGGGTTGAAGTCGTTCTCCTGCTTCATCCTCAAGAGTAGGAGCTGGGATTACAGGGATGCACCACCATGCTCGGCTAATTTTTGTATTTTTCATAGAGACAGGGTTTCACCATTTTGGCCAGGCTGGTCTGGAACTCCTGACTTCAAGTGATCCACCCGCCTTGGCCTCCTGCAGTGCTGGGAATTGCCTTTTCCACGGCCTGAGCATGGGGCCGTGGCTGAATGAGTCAGTGAGTCGAAGTGTGCGTGCATGAGCTCCGTTCTCTGTTAAGGCAAAGCTCTTGCTCTGCTGAGTCAGCCAGGGTTGCTTCATGACCAACAGTAATTCATTCCTGGGCAAGTGGAACTTCTCTAAAACACCTCGCCCTCATCAAATGTTCCCTACCCTTCCCTCTCTCAAGCCCCCAGGAATTTATCCTCCAGTTAGGAATGCAGGCAGAACAAACATTGCATTTTTCCTGAGAAGGATGTCAGATTGCCAATCATTTTTCTAGCTTGTAGGAGATCTCAGCTCCATAAAATGAGAGATTAAGAGATTTCACAGAGCCCTGTTTTGGGTCCAGATCCCTTTCGCTGTTGGAGTATCTGGAGTTTGGAGATGGTAGAAGACAGGCGTACAATGTCAGAGCTGTGAGATGCTGAGTCAACGCCTGAATCCAAGGTTTCCACCTCCCCAGGTTTCCAAAAGCGGATATAAGAGGGTTCTGTACTCACCGGTTTTGGAGCTTGGTTCAGTGGGTGAAGGCCAACTATTTGAAGGGTTTCCTAGAACATGAGACAGGAGAGAGGTGAGGAAATGAGGGTGTCTGTCCTCTACTCAGTGGAAATCTTTGAGGTTGGTTCATGGCCAACACTCTGTTATCTAATATTGGGCCCTGGGAGTCCTGGGATCCTTTTTTCCGTAATTTTTGTATGTGACGGCTACTGTCTTGAGACTTCAAGGTATAAAGAGAAAACAGGAGCATCACACTACCTGATCTCAAAATATGTTACAGAGCTGTAGTAAGCAAGACAGCATGACGTTGGCATGAAGAAAGGCACATAGAACAACGGAGCAGAATGAATAACACAGATATAATCCATGCATTTACCTCCAATGTATTTTTTGTTTTTCTTTTGAGATGGAGTCTTGCTCTGTCACCCAGGCTGGAGTGCAGAGGTGCAATCTCGGTTCACTGCCACCACAGCCTCCTGGGTTCAATCACTTCTCTTGCCTCAAACTCCTGAGTAGTGGTATTACAGGTGCTGACCACCATGCTCAGCTAATTTTTATATTTTTAGTGGAGACGATGTTTCATCACGTTGGCCAGACTAATCTTGAACTCTTGGCCTCAGGTGATCCACCCACCTCGGGCTCCCAAAGTGCTGAAATTGCAGGTGTCAGCCACCATGCCCAGCCCATCCAATGGACTTTGACAAAGGTGCCAAGAACTCACAATCAGGAAAGGACAGTCTTTTCAATAAACAGTGCAGGGAAACCTGGACATCGACATGCAGAGGAATGAAACTGCACCTCTGCCTGTCACTATACACAAAAATCAAATGAAAATGGATTAAAGATGTGAGTCTAAGGCCTGAACCTATGAAACACGTAGAAGAAAATATTGGGGAAATGCTCCAGGACGTTTGTCTGAAGGAAGACATTTTGTTTTAAACCTTCAAAACACAAGTAATCGAAGCAAAAATAGACCATTGGGATTACCTCAAACTAAGCAACTTCTGCACCGCTAAAAATAAACCAACAAAGTGAAGAGACAACCCACAGATTGGGAGCAAATATGTGCAAACTATGCATCTGAGATGGGATTAATAACTAGAAATATAAGAAGCTCAAACAACTCAATAAAACAAATGATTTAATTGAAACAGGAGCAAAAGACATGAAATTTCCCCACATACGAAAAAGTGCTCAGTATCACTCATCATCAGAGAAACACAAATTAAAATCAAAGTGAGTTTTCATCTCACCCCATTAAAATGGCTTTTAGGCCGGGCGTGGTGGCTCACGTCTGTCATCCTAGAACTTTGAGAGCCTGAGGTGGGTGAATCTCATAAGGTCGGGAGTTTGAGACCAGTCTGACCCACATGGAGAAACACTGTCTCTACTAAAAATACAAAAATTAGTCGGGCGTGGTGGCGTGTGCCTGTAATTCCAGCTACTCGGGAGGCTGAGGCAGGAGAATCGCTTGAACCTGGGAGGTGGAGGTTGTGGTGAGCCGAGATCGCACCACTGCACTCAGCCTGGGTGACAAGAGCGAAACTCCATCTCAAAATAAAATGAAATAAAATAAAATGGCTTTTAGCTGCAAGACAGGCAAAAGAAATGCTGGCAAGGTGTTAGAGAAAGGAGAATCCTGGTATCCTGTTGGTAGGAGTGTAAATTAGTACAGCCATTACGGAGAAAAGTGTGGAAGTCCTTTAAAGAACTAAAAAGAGGTTGGGTGAGGTGGATCATGCCTGTAATCCCGGCACTTTGGGAGACCGAGGCGGGCACCTCAGTTGAGGTCATGAGTTTGAGAGCAGCCCAGCCAACATGGGGAAACCGCATCTATACTAAAAAAAACAAAAAGTAGCCAGGCATGGTGGCGTGCGCCTATAATCCCTGATACTAGGGAGGCTGAGGCAGGAAAATCATTTGAACCCAGGAGGCAGAGGTTGCAATGAGCCAAGATGACATCACTTGTACTCCAGCCTGGGCACAGAGGGAAACTGTCTCAAAAACAAAAACAAAACAACAAACGAAAAACTAAAAAGAGAACTTTCATAGTATCCAGCAATTTCACTACTGGGTTTATATCCAAAGGAAAGTAAATCAATATATCGAAGTGATATCTGCACTCGTATGATTGGTGCAGCACTCTTCACAGTAGCCAAGATGAGGAGTCAACCTACCTGCCCATCAGTGGGTGAATGGATAGAGAGAATGTGGTACATTTGCATAGTGGAGACTACTCTTCCATAGAAAGAAAAACATCCTGATATTTGCAGCCACATGGATGGAACTGGAGGTCATTACAAAGATTCCCATTTCTTACCCATATACAGGAGCTAAAAGGTGGATCTCATGAAGGTAGAGAGTAGAATGGTGGCTACCAGAGGCCAGGAAGAAAAGGGTGGAGGGTAAAAAAAAATATGTGTATATATATATATATTAATGTATTTATGACCACTAGACTTTACACTTAAAAATGGTAAATGTGGCTGGGCGTGGTGGCTCATGCCTGTAATCCCAGCACTTTGGGAGGCTGATGCGGGTGGATCACGTGGTCAGGAGTTCGAGACCAGCTTGACCAACATGGTGAAACCCCCTCTCTACTAAAAATACAAAAAGTAGCCTGGCATGGTGGTGCGCGCCTGTAGCACCAGCTACTCAGGTGGCTGAGGCAAGAGAATCGCTTGAACCCAGGAGGCGGAAGTTGCAGTGAGCTGAGATTGTGCCAATGCACTCCAGCATAGGGGACAGAGCTAGACTCCGCCTCAAAAAAAAAATGTTAAAGGTGGTAAGCTATATAGGTATATTTATCCTCAATAAATATTTCTCAAACAAAAGTAAAGGGTGTAGGGGTTGCAGGTGATGACATCCCTGTGTGGGTGGGAGGCCAGGATGGGCTTCTGGGAAATGGGTAATGTTGAGGGGCTGAGGGAACCTCTGATCTTCCCAAACTGAGCCCAGTCTCCCTCCTCTGGGTCTCTCCTGACCGCTTTCTCCATCTGCCTGGGTGCCTGGAGTCCTGGCCGCAGGCCTTCATGCAGGCCATGTAGGAGGGTTTGGAGGTGCCCTGTCTGCCATCCTGTGCCCTGATCCCTCCCTCACACCCAAGCTTCGTCTTCTCTCTGCATCTGTTCATCCTTCTCTCCATCCTCAGCAGGAAGCTCCTCAGCTAAGGCTCTAGGATCATAGGACATGGGACAGCCATGGGCTTTCCTCACCTGTGACAGAAACAAGCAGTGGGTCACTCGAGTTTGACCACTCGTAGGGAGAGTCACGGAAAGAGCCGAAGCATCTGTAGGTTCCTCCGTGGGTGGCAGGGCCCAGAGGAAAGTCAGCCTGGAATGTTCCGTTGACCTTGGGCCCTGCAGAGAACCTACGTTCATGGGCCTCCCCCTCCCTGGATAGATGGTACATGTCATAGGAGCTCCGGGAGCTGCAGGACAAGGTCACGCTCTCTCCTGCCAGAACCGTGGGGCCCGGCTGGGCTGAGAGAGAAGGTTTCTCATATAGACCTGGAAGGAGAAGAGGCATTTTCCTTACGGAGGATCTTCCTTGTCACAGCTCCCTTCACCTGAGCTGAGAACTCACTCCCCTGCTCTATGACCTAATGCTCTCTCTCTCTCTCTCTCTCACCCTCCACCCCATCTCTCTTCATGTCTATTTCCTCCTTCCACCTTCTCTGTCTCTCTAGGTCTCTGACCTCGCTTCCACACCTCTAGATATGTTTTCCCTTTTTGGATTGTTTTATTCTCTCTGACTCTCCTTGGATTGGTTGACTTGATGTTACTTTTTTAAATTCTAAGTTTCTCACTTTGTGTCCTGTTCATAACTTTCTGCATATTTCTATCTATTATCTATCGATCTATCTATTTATCTATTCGGTGCCTATCTACAAATTCTCTACCTGTCATCTATATCTATATATCATCTATGTATCTATCACTTGTCTATCTATCCATCAATCATCTGTTATCTATATCTATGTATCATCTCTCTCTCTATGACTTCTGTCTGCCTCTCTATCTCTATGTATTATCTATCTGTCTTCATCATCATCATCTCTATGTCTCATCTATTAATGAATCAATCAATCATCATCTATGTATCTTTAACCTATTATCTATCATCTACCTATTTATCATCTATCTATATCTATCCATCTATCATCTGTCTTGCTCTGCCTCTCGGTCTCTCTAGTTCTCTTTGGAATCTCTGCAATTCATCCCCACATCTCCATCTTTCTATGTCCTTGTGCCTCTCCCTCAGGAGTCTAATTTTAGTGCTTTTCTCTGCTCCCTTCCATCATTCTCACCACTCCTCTGCCCTCTTTTCTCTCTCTTTATGTGTCTGTGAGTCTCTCAATCTCCTTCCTCTGGCTCATTCTCTGTGTGTTTATGTCTTTGCTTTTTGGTGTCCCTGATTTCTCTCTGTGCCTCTCAGTGATCCTTTCATATGTGGGGTTATTTGGAATGTGAGCCTCAGAATCCAGTCTGGAGACCACAAGTTCACACAGCATACAGGAGTTGGTGTTCTGGGGCCATGATATCCTGGGACGGTTACTCTCCATTACATGGAAGGCAGAGGTGTCAGAATAAACACGGCATCTGTAGGTGCCACAAGGCCTGAGGCCACAGGGCCCAACTCAGGTCAGAAATATGGGTGTCCTTGGGTTCTCCTGGTAGAGAACACTTTGTGGAGGTAAAACAGAAATGAAACTTCTAACCTGTGCCAGGTCTCTGAGCAAAGTCAGCATGGAGGGACACCTCTCTCTGGGACATGTCTGTCTGTCTGTCTCCTTTAACTCCTTCTGTCTTTTCTAACTCCCGGTATGGCCCCTGTGTCTGTCCTCTGTTATGACACCTGGTCTGTACTTGTGTCTCCTGTTTCTCTGTCTCTGTTGGTACAGACCTCACCAAGTCAGTCTCTCTCCATAAGAATACCAAGCTCATCTTCCTTACAACTACCTGGGGGTTCCAAGTCGTGGATCATTCACTCTGCATCCCAATGACAATGAGAAGAATGTCCGGACACTCTCACCTGTGATGACGATGTCCAGAGGGTCACTGGGAGCTGACAACTGATGGGGGAGTGAGTAACAGAACCGTAGCATCTGTAGGTCCCTGCCAGGTCTTCCATCATGGGACCGATGGAGAAGTTGGCCTTGGAAACCCCATCATGGTGCTCTCCAGTGAGGTGCAAAGTGTCGTTAAACTTCCCTTCTCTGTGCAGAAGGAAGTGCTGAAACCTGACATCTGACCAACATTGCAGGATGACTGTCTCTTCTGATTTCACCAGGGGACCTGGGTGGGCCAGGAGGGAAGGTTTTCTGTGGACTCCTAGGAAGAGAGGTTGTGAGTTTAGAAGGTGTCTCTCTTTATCATCCCATCCATGGCACCTAGAATGAGTGAGGCTTCCCCTTGCTGGTGTCTGTCTCTCTCCTTCCTCTCTGTGTCTTCATGTTCTTTTCTGTGCCCATAACTCCTGGTGCAGGTCCTTCCATCTGTCTCCCTCCCTCTTCTCTGTCCCTCTGTCTCTAGTCGCCTCTGATTCCCTTCCCACTGGGCTTAGCCTCATCTCTTGGGGTGTTGTATCTATTTCACACTAATGTCTTTCCTGCTGTTTATGTGGGGGTGAAAGAGGAACCAGGATAGGCTGCACATCCAGCCTCTTATCAGCCTGGTTCAATCTCTTTTGGATGAATTGGAATCCTTGGCAGTAGGTATGAACTGATGAATAAGGCAGGCACCAGTGTCCACACACCCTGTTCCTGGTCGGGACTGGGAGCCACTCTTGCCATGCCTGTGCCTTCTCCATGGTGCCAGCTTCCATAGGCTGGCTCCTGGTGCTGGTTTGAGGAGTATCAACCCCTCCCTATGTGGATGGAGCCTGGTGGTGGCATCATCATCCCACACTTGCTCATCTCGGTGTAGCCAACCTTCCCCTTGTTTGGTTCCTTTAATTAATTAATTAATTATGGAGACAGAGTCTCACTCCTTCACCCCAGCTGGAGTGAAGTGGTGTGGTCTAGGGTCACTGCAACCTCTGTCTCCTGGGTTCAAGTGATTCTCCTGCCCTCAGCCTCCCAAGTCGCTAGGATTACATGCGCCTGCCACCACACCCGGCTATCCTTGTGTTGTTTCTTACCTTGTCCTTGACCTGGGTTCCAGTGTTGGTTTCCTGTTGCTGCTGTAGAAAATTATCAGAAGCATGGCAGCAGGAGAGAGCACACTGACCCATTTCACTACTGGAGACAGAAATAGGACCCTGTTTTTCCTGGGCTAAAATCAAGGCATCTGCAGGGCTTCGTTCCCTCTGGAGACTCTGGAGAATCATTTCCTTGACTTTTCCAACCTCTACAGGCCACCTGCATTCATGGCTCCTGGCCTTCCTCCACCTTCAAAGCTGGTGGAGTCTCCCATTGCGCTGCTCTAATCCCCACTCCCCTCTTCCTCCTCCTTTCATGTGGACCCTTGTGATTACACTGAGCCCAGCGGGACAGTCCAGGCTGTCTCCCCATCTCAAGGTCAACTCATCAACAACCTGAGCTCCATCTTCCCCTTCAGTTCCTTCCCCTATAACATAAATAGTCACAGACTCCAGGGATTAGAATGTAGTCATCACTGGGGACAATTATTCTTCCCACCACAGCACCCATTTCCCTGTATTCAATCCCCCTTTACCCCAAATATAGTCAGGGCCTGGGTGATGGGACCCTCAAGGACACGCCCACCAGAAGCTCTGGGATTCAGGAGGTGGGAAAGGAGAATCCAAGACAGGAGCCCTCTGACCTGTGGCCATGATCACCAGGGTGTTGCTGGGTGCCGACCACCCACTGGGGTAGTGTGGGTGTGAACCCCGACATCTGTACGTCCCTGTGTGTGCTGGGGTCACAGGGCCCATGAAAAGGCTCTTCCAGAATATTCTGTTGTAGAGCTCAGTGCCAGGCACCCCATCTTCCTTTTACAGACTGAAGTTGTTAAACCCAAGATAAGAATGACACCGAAGAATCACATGTCCTGGAGGCACCACAGAGCTGGGCCAGGCAGACAGCAAGGGCTTGTCCTGACCACCTTGGGGAGAAGGAGGCACCGCCTTAGAGAGGAGGATGTGGAGCCACCCCTCCCTCCCTGTGCTCTGAAGATTCTCCTCGCTTTCCAAGTTTCTATGGCTGCTATCACACCTTGGTGCCCAGGGCTAAAGGAAGGACCCATCCCGCAAACACAAGGTGTCTCCCTACAACAAAAGTGTCAGCTGAGAACTTTGAGCAAGTGCTGAGTAAGAGACTCCTACTAGATTTTAATACTGTAAGATTACTCACATAAAACAACACAGGGTAGACATGGGGTGGAGGGCATGTCTTTGAGAATGGAATATCAGCAGATGCCTGAATGAAAATAAGCAACTGAGCCCCCATCAGAGGATTTGGAATGTCAGGGCCATGGCTGTGGTTTCCCACCTCTTCTGGTGGAGTGACAGCAGCCACACTGCAGCCCCTACCGTCATGGAAACGCTGAAGTGTGAGTAACACCTTTGTCCTCAGAGGATCTGCTGTTCCTACCACTTCCCCACCACGCACCCCAGCTTTGAGCACCCCAGTCTAACCCTGGTCCCCACAGAACTTGACTCTGCCAAGGGAATGAAAGGCCAGGGAGGCGAGGTCGGAACTGTGGGCCGAGCACCCCAGGGTCCCCTCTTCCTAGTTTATGAGAGGCTCCCTGACAGGACTTCCCTCCTGTTTCAGGAAAATCCTCTTATGTGGGGAGATGACACCCTAAGGTTTGGAGAAGGACTCACCCTCATGTGGCCAGGCCCCCTGCAGCAAGAAGAACCCTGGAAAGAAAGATCATGATGGACGATCCATCTGCAGGCAAACCAGCCCTCCCTTGCTGCCCTCACTGGGCTGTGAGTCTTGGTAGGCAGGCCCTTCCTGGACTGAAGTTAAACTCACCCTCAGTGCCTACCTGCACCCAAGAACAGGGCTGTCGGCTGTGCAGAGACCCAGCCTCCAAGCCCAGATCCCCACCACAAGCCCATATCCCCACCACAAGCCCATATCTCCACTCCAGGCCAATATTTCCACCCTAGGCCTGTATCTCCACTCCAGGCCCATATCTCCACTCCAGGCCGATATTTCCATCATAGGCCCATATCGCCAATCCAGGCCCATATCGCCAATCCAGGCCAAGATCTCCACTGTAAGCCCATATCTCCAATCCAGGCCCATATCTCCACTCCAGGCTCAGATCTCCAACCTAGGCCCATATCTCCAATCCAGGCCCATATCTCCACACCAGGCCCATATCTCTACTGAAGGCCAGTAACTCCACCTCCAGGCCCATATCTCCACTCCAGGCCCAGATCTCCACCCCAAGCCCATATCTCCACCCCAGGCCCATATCTCTACTGAAGGCCCGTAACTCCACCTCCAGGCCCATATCTCCACCCCAGGCCCAGATCTCCACCCCAAGCCCATATCTCCACTCTAGGCCCATATCTCCTCTCCAGTCCCATATCTCCACAACCAGGCCCATATCTCCATCCTAGGCCCATATTTCCACTCTAGGCCCAGATATCCACCTCTAGGCCCATATCTCCACTCCTGGCCCAAATCTCCACTCCAGGCCCATATCTCTACTATAGGCCTATAACTCCACCTCCAGGCCCATATCTCCACTCCAGGCTCCTATCTCCCCTCCAGGTTCCTATCGGCACTCCAGGCCCAGATCTCCACTTCTAGGCCCATCACTCCATCTCTAGGCCCATATATCCACTCCAGGCCCAGATCTCCACTCCAGGCCCACAACTCCACCTCCAGGCCTATATCTCCACCTCTGGGCCCAGATCTCCAACCCCACACTCCCTTCCTCTATTCCCTTCCAGGACTCACCAACACACGCCATGCTGACGACCGTGAGCGACATGGTGCTGCCGGTGCAGACAGGCGGCCGTGCCCCAGCTCAGCTCAGCAGCGCACAGGATGTTATTTGGCGCCCTGCCCATGCAGTTTACATGTTGACCACATCATGGGAGGGTGACGTACGCAGGCTCATTCTACCTTGCATGAGGCCCAGTGGGTGCTCGCTCAAGAGCGGAACACGGCTTCCTGGAAATTGTTCTCACTAGAATTTACACCTAGCGTCCTTCACTATGACCAACTCAAAACACGTCTCAGATCCAACCTCCTGAACACGAGATGCCTAAAATCTGTGCTAACGTGAAAGACTTTTCATGTATTTTTATTGTTTTTATCTGAGATTCAAACTCTTCTTCATGTGTAATATGCAAAATATTTAATAGGTATTATTAAGGTTTTCAGAGTCATTGTGACTAATAAACCATTAGAATTTTTCATGCTTGTATTTCTAGTATTACAGCAGAACCAGTTAAAATGATTTAAATTCCCAGGGAAGGATTATGCAATTATTTACAATGTTAGAATTGTACTTTATCAGCAAAAACCACACCTGTAAATTCTGGAGTTTTGTAGTTTAATCTAAAATTTGTCTCATGACCCAAGATTCCAGAGTCCCAACTCTGGAGTTTGATCTCTCTCTGTCTCTCTGCCTCCCTCATTTTAAATTTTACAGAAATATCCAGTAACATAATGCTATAGAAAATCAAGTTTCCCCAGCACGTCGGGAAGCCGAGGTGGGCGGATCAACTGAGATGAGGGGATTGAGAGCAGCCTGGCCAACATAGTGAAACCGTGTCTCTGCTAAAAATCCAAAAATTAGCCATGCCTGGTGGCAGGCACCTGTAACGCCAGCTACTCAAGAGGCTGAGGCACGAGAATCGCTTGAACCTGGGAGGCGGAGGTTGCAGTGAGCTGAGATTGTGTCACTGCAGTCCAGCCTGGGCGACAGAGCAAGACTCCGCCTCAAGAAAAAAAAAAGCAAATAGCCTATAATAACAAATTAGAGGGCTCTGGCTACTAAATTTAAAGGGTTCTATAAGGCTACATAAAGTGTAGCATCATCAAGTGTGTGGACACAGACAGCCCCTTAGCAGAAACTGTCTAAAATACATCCATGTACACACAGTCCCTTTAGAGTTGACAAAGGCTGCCGTGTGGTTTAAGGTGGCATAGAATGTCTTCTCAATAAATAATATTAAACCAATGGGTTACACCTAGTAAAAAATAAATCTAACTCACACTATAAAAACACTTCTTAGTTTTTATCTAGTTGTACATTTTTTGATTTATATTTAAATTTGAGAAATAAAAGTCATATACGGTCATCCTTCACTATTCGTGGGTGATTGGTTTCGAGATCTCCACTCAGATACCAAAATCTGTAGATGCTCAAGCCTCTTATATGAAATGGCACAGCGCTTGCAAATAACATATGCACATCCTCCTGTATACATGAAATCATCTCTTGATTACTTATAATTCCTGATACAGCCTACACACAGCTTCATTTGTGTCCATTCAACATAGTTATGAGTTTTGGAACTCTGTGGATATTTTCTCTGAATATTTTTGATTTATACTTTGTTCAATAAAGACCTGTAAACCCCACAGATACGGAGGAGTGACCGTATATTTATAGTATGAAAGATGATGTGTTGATATGTGTCCCCATGGAGATGAGACTAACAAGGCCTATGACTCTACAAATGTTTCATCGTGGAATGACTCTGCCAGCTTTCCAGGTCTGCAGAGAGTAACAATGTCACTTGTTCATGTGATTCCCGATCCTTGGAACCTCCTATGTGCTGCATCTTTGGATGGAAATTGGAGTCCCAGAGACAAATGAGGCTCCACACTGCTTCCAGAAGCTCAGAGTCCAGAGGTGAGAACCCGGTGGAGAACAGATGGGATTATATGGACATGGTACTGATAACACCGGAAGCCTTAGGCAAGAAAAGAGTCCCATTACCTAAACCATGAGGGCAGACATGTTTATTTGAAGGAGGGAAAACTACATTGAAATTATTTTAAAAAATATATAAGTTTTACTGCTGACAGAAGGCTGAAAGCTAGTCTGAGGGGAGGTGGAACAGCATGAGGGAAGGTGGAACAGCACGTGTCTAAGTGCCGTGTTAAGAGGGAGCCTCTTGTATGTTTGGAATTGTGAGTTCCTCAGTGTGATTGCAGCCTCAAGTAGACTAGGAAGTAAGCCAGTTAGGTTGGAGAGGTGGGCAGGGGTCAAGTGAAATGGAGAATTGTGGGCTAAGCAAAGGAGTGTGTTTTCTCTCCAGCAGGCAGTGGGGACCTTAGACATTTGTAAGCAAGGGAGAGGCACGTTCAGATTTGTGGTGTGAGGAAGAGCGATGCCCTAAGATGCAGACTCACGCCTTCAGATTCCAGCTGCTGGTACATTGGAGCTGGCAACCCAGTTTTGAGACAGGGCTGTTGTCTCCCTAGAAGATCCCCTCAAGGCCTGACTGTGGTGCTCATGGGCAGGAGACAACTTTGGATCAGGGCTCAGCATTTGGAAGTTCCGTGTACACGATGATATCTGTTGGGGGTGTCTTGGGCCTCTGAGAAGGGCGAGTGATTTTTCTCTGTGTGAAAACGCAGTGATTCAACTGTGCATATGTCACCTCCTGAGGGTCTTGTTCATCAGAGTCCTGGAGAGAGGGAAATGCTGAGTGAGGGAGGGTGCTCACATTTTCCAGGACTCTTTGGGAATAACACTAGCCACGAGGCTGGGCCGAGGAGCACCTACCTCCCTGTTCACTGTTCTGTTCCCTGCAGGCTCTTGGTCCATTACAACAGCATCTGTAGAAGACGGAAGTCAACAAAACAGCTCAGAGGGCACTTCTGGGCCCTCATTTCATAAGCAGATACCAACATACAGGGGGAGACCATAGGAGCCTGAGGTCCCTCAGTTGCCAACAGCAGACTCAGACATTCTATCTCTCTGAGCTCAAGGACCCATCCCATGAATAGCTCTGAGTTCCCATCCCATTGATTCTGTCTCCCACTTTCTGCCTGTCATGGAACCTTCTCCTGGATGTGAGTGGCTGCAGGGGACATGAGGATACAGTTCAGAATCAGGCAATGGTCTGTGAGCTGAAGGCAGGGACAGGGAGTCTGGTGCTCTCTCTAGAAAGTCCTCCCTCTGTGGCTGCTGCCTTGGGCCAGGGACCATCCTGTCTGTGAGGAACACACACCTGAGTGCTCCCATCCTGCTTCCCCACATGGCCCTGAGCTCTCTGGCCTCTGCTTCGTGAGACTTACTTTTTTTGTTGCAGCACCAGCGATGAAGGAGAAAGAAGAGGAGGAGGATGAAGAGGATGATGACCACTGAGGTCCCAATCAGAACATGCAGGTGTCTGGGGTTACCTGGAAGAAGAGGAGACACCAATAAGAAGCTAATCATAGCAGTTCCTCTTTATGAATTGTCTCACATTTCTTGATTGACAGGTAACCACATACAACACCCCTTTAGGACAAGCACCCAGATGGAGGGAGACCCAGCTTTCTCCTGCTTTCTCAGTTATAGCTCTCATAGTAACCATAGAACGTGTTGAGGATACAACTACTTTAGTTGAGATGTTTGACCCCTTCAAACCTCACATTGAAATTTCACCCCCACTGTGGGAGGTTGGGCCTCTTGAGAGGTGTTTGGGTCATGGAGGTGGATCCATCATGAACAGACCAATGCTGTCCCAAGGAGACGGGGTTAGCAAGTTCCCCTTCTATTAGTTCCTGGAGAGCTGGTTGTTCAAAAGAGCTTGGAAGCTCCATCGCTCCCCCTCCCCCTTGCTCCCTCTCTTGCCGTGTGATCTCTGTGGTCTCTGCACAGACAGACCCTCCTTCCCTTCTGCCAGAGTGGGAGCAGCCTGAGGCCGTCACGAGAAATAGATGCTGGTGCCACGCTTCCAGTACAGCCTGCAGAACTGTGAGGCAAACCAATCTCTTTTCTCTAGAAGTTACCCAGGCTCAAGTGTTCCTTTAGAGCAACAAAAATGGACTAAGACAGCAACGTCCTGAGATCAGGAGGAACGTCTCAGAACAGCCTGGGCTGTCTTCCTGTTCTTCCTGGAGGAGGACGTCATGCAGTGCTTTAGCTGAGTGCTTCCTGTGGCTCCACAGTACAAAACCCAGGCTGGGCTGCTCTCTGGCTTCCCCCAGCTACACTGCAAATGGGGTGACTCCATATGTCCCGAGTAGCTTTTCTGAGCCTTGAGGGACTGGCTCACATTGAAATGTAGGTTTCTGTTGTCACTCGCTGCTTATCTGTTAGTAATGAACCTGCCTGTGTAATGTATTCTCTGTGTGTTCTGTCTCCCTGGAGTGACGGTGAGTGATAGGAATTGGCATAAGCCCAGGTGCAGTCCAGGAGGTATTTAGAGTCTTCTCTGGGAAGACTGCACTGGGATTGATACACAGCGAATGTGCTTTAGGATTTCTACATCCACAGCATTCTTGAATCAAACAACTTGCATTCTCCAAGAAAAGGAAACAAAAGTGAAATCAAGATAAAAAAAGCTAAGTAGAATTCTCTTATGTCAAATGGCCAGGAAATAGTGTTGAAGCCCGTGTGAAACGTGCTACTCTTTGTGATCTCGGGAGACACATGTTAGGCTGCTGTTCTACCCGAGAGGCTGGGGGAAGGACCACCCCCTCGGCCATCTATTGCTTCAATACCACCTGTCCTCCTGTGAATTAGTAGGAAAGGGGAGCAGGAGCTAGTGCTGGCACTGATCTCTGATTCCAAGATCTGGACTCACTCCAAGGAGTATCAATGTTTACCTCCCCATAGCCTATCTGAATCTCCACAGGTGATTGGAAGTAGGGGTGAGGTGGGGGATTTGGGTGAGTGGGCAAGTTTTTTGTTGCGATGAACAGAGCACTTTCTCTATTCCACGATCTGTGCTGGAGGATTCTGAGGGCTTTCACATTTTCTATGTGATCTCATTCTCACAGAAAGCCAAATAGGGAAGAGGTTTTAAGCTCATTGCCTAATGGATAAGATAAAGGATCAAAGAAGTAATTATAGAGAAATAGAAAAACGATGATTGGAATTCAGGTGCCTTTGTCATTCGTGTGTGTTTTATTATATTTATGTATTTCTTATTTTTATTTTTTGAGATAGAGTCTCCTTGTGTCCCCCAGGCTGGAGTGCAGTGATGCAATCTCCACTCACTGCAACCTCCACCTACTGGGTTGAAGTCATTCTCCTGCTTCATCCTCCAGAATAGGAGCTGGGATTACAGGGATGCACCATCGTGCTCGGCTAATTTTTGTATTTTTAGTAGAGATAGGGTTTCACCACGTTGGCCAGGCTGGTCTGGAACTCCTGACTTCATGGAATCCACCCACCTTGGCCTCCTGCAGTGCTAGGTTACAGGCGTGAGCCACTGTTCACAGACTTGTATATTATGCTATAATAAGTCTCTTCATTTCCACCACCACTCATATATCTGTCACTCCTTTGCCAGGTATTGATTTATGTGTAGGATGAATAAATCTCAGAAAGAAATTAATTAAGCGAGGATTAAACAAGTAGGAAAATCAAACCCAGTAAGCGTTTCCAGTCAATGATTCTACCTCACAAACATATCTTATATCCATCTACTTCATTCATTTAGTGTCTAAATCAGCACCACATTTCACCAGTGGGGTGGCAATTGCCTTTTCCACGGTCTCCTAGATTCCAGTTATGCAACTGAGCCTCCCTTATTTTCATGTCAGTCATATTAATCATGTAGGGATTCCTGGTTACCCCGAGGTGAATCCAATGGCTGTGAGTGTCAAACACACACTCCTTGTTGCTCCTTAGTTTCCTGTGTACCCAGTGTGCTCTCCGTCTCTCTACAGTCGTCTTGTCATTCTCCCCACATCATTCCCAGCATTTGAGGCAGAGCCTCTTCCTTCCACATCAGATTGTTTTCACCTTTGTGCCTTCACGGCTGACAGCTGTGTGTGCAAAATCCTTCCGCCAATCTTTCAGGGGTTCAATCCGTGTTTTTCATTAATGTCACAAATATCTGAATAGTGAGACCTTCTTTGTCACCTGAAATCATACACTCAGCATTATCTATTATTGATTTTGAATTCTGGCTGGGCACAGTGGCTCACGCCTGTAGTCCCATTACTTTGGCATGCTGAGACGGTCGGATCACTTGAGGTTGGGAGTTTCAGACAAGCTTGGCCAACGTGGTGAAACATCCTCTCTACAAAAAATATACAAAAAGAATTAGCCGGGCACGGTGGCAGTTGCCTGTAATCCCAGCTACTCGAGAGGCGGAGGCAGGAGAATCACTTGAATCCAGGAGACGCAGGTTGCAGTGAGCCAAGATCGTGACACTGCACTGTAGCCTGGAAGACAGAGGGCGACTCTGTCTCAATAAACAAAAGAACAAACAAAAAATAGATTTCATGCACAGATGCTTCCCAATGGATCATTCATTTATAGATCCACTTGTGCATTCATTTTCTGCCCTCCCATTTAACCATCTGCAATATCAGTGTCCCAAGGGCAGAAGCCAAATGCATCTTGTTCACCGTTTGTGGAAGGCAGGAGAATGCTGTCCCACCCCAAAATGTCCCTGTCCTAGCCTCCATAGCTTGTGAATATGTTATTTTACATGGAAAGGAGGAATGAAGATTGTAGATGGAATTGCGGTTGCTAATCAGCTGAACTTAAAACAAGGGTATCCTGGATGATTTCCAGGAGATTATGAGGGATTTTCATCTTGGTGAACCCAATAGAATCCCCAAGTTTTCAAAAGATAAGGAAGAAGGGAGAGCAGCATTCAGAGAAAGAGGTGTGGTAAGGAAGAAGGCACTGAGTGATGCCATGTGAGATGTGACCAGTCTTTGTGGGCTTTGAGGAAGGAGGAAGGGGAACAGGAGCCAAGGAACTGGGAGCCTTTAGAAGCTGGGATAAGTGAGAAGCAGATTCTTGCCTGGAATCCTCAGAGGGAAGGCAGCCTTGCTGTCACCTTGATTTTAGCCCAGTAAGATGCACTTCCTACTTTGAGCTACAGCACTGTAAGATAATTAAAAAACCGTTTTGTTTTCACCCACGAATCTTGTGGAAATTTGTTATGGCAACAATAGGAAAAGGTTCCGCACTGCACAGCCTGAGCATGGGGCCGTGGCTGAATGAGTCAGTGAGTCGAAGTGTGCGTGCATGAGCTCCGTTCTCTGTTACGGCAAGGCTGTTGCTCTGCTGAGTCAGCCAGGGTTGCTTCATGACCAACAGTAATTCATTCCTTGGCAAGTGGAACTTCTCTAAAACACCTCGCCCTCATCAGATGTTCCCTTCCCTTCCCTCTCTCAAGCCCCCAGGAATTTATCCTCCAGTTAGGAATGCAGGCAGAACAAACATTGCATTTTTCCTGAGAAGGATGTCAGATTGGCAATCATTCTTCTAGCTTGTAGGAGGTCTCAGCTCCATAAAATGAGAGATTAAGAGATTTCACTGAGCCCTAGGTTGGGCCCAGATCCCTTTCGCTGTTGGAGTATCTGGAGTTCGGAGATGGTAGAAGACAGGCGTACAATGTCAGAGCTGCGAGATGCTGAGTCAATGCCTGCATCGAAGGTTTCTACCTCCCCAGGTTTCCAAAAGCGGATATAAGAGGGTTCTGTACTCACCGGTTTCGGAGCTTGGTTCAGTGGGTGAAGGCCAACTATTTGAAGGGTTTCCTAGAACACGAGACAGGAGAGAGGTGAGGAAATGAGGGTGTCTGTCCTCTACTCAATGGAAATCTTTGAGGTTGGTTCATGGCCAACACTCTGTTATCTAATATTGGGCCCTGGGAGTCCTGGGATCCTTTTTTCCGTAATTTTTGTATGTGACGCCCACTGTCTTGAGACTTCAAGGTATAAAGAGAAAACAGGAGCATCACACTACCTGATCTCAAAATATGTTACAGAGCTGTAGTAAGCAAAACAGCATCACATTGGCATAAAGAAAGGCACGTAGAACAATGGAGCAGAATGAAGAACACAGATATAATCCATGCATTTACCTCCAATGTTTTTTTCTTTTTTCTTTTGAGATGGAGTCTCGCTCTGTCACCCAGGCTGGAGTGCAGAGGTGCAATCTCGGTTCACTGCCACCACAGCCTCCTGGGTTCAATCAATTCTCTGGCCTCAAACTCCTGAGTAGTGGTATTACAGGTGCTGACCACCATGCTCAGCTAATTTTTATATTTTTAGTGGAGACAATGTTTCATCACGTCGGCCAGACTAATCTTGAACTCCTGGCCTCAGGTGATCCACCCGCCTTGGGCTCCCAAAGTGCTGAAATTGCAGGTGTCAGCCACCATGCCCAGCCCATCCAATGGACTTTGACAAAGGTGCCAAGAACTCACAATCAGGAAAGGACAGTCTTTTCAATAAACAGTGCAGGGAAACCTGGACATCTACATGCAGAGGAATGAAACTGCACCTCTACCTGTCACTATACACAAAACTCAAATGAAAATGGATTAAAGATGTGAGTCTAAGGCCTGAACCTATGAAACACGTAGAAGAAAATATTGGGGAAATGCTCCAGGACATTTGTCTGAAGGAAGACATTTTGTTTTAAACCTTCAAAACACAAGTAATCGAAGCAAAAATAGACCATTGGGATTACCTCAAACTAAGCAACTTCTGCACCGCTAAAAATAAACCAACAAAGTGAAGAGACAACCCACAGATTGGGAGCAAATATGTGCAAACTATGCATCTGAGATGGGATTAATAACTAGAAATATAAGAAGCTCAAACAACTCAATAAAACAAACGATTTAATTGAAAAAGGAGCAAAACACATGAAATTTCCCCACATACTAAAAAGTGCTCAGTTTCACTCATCATCAGAGAAACACAAATTAAAATCAAAGTGAGTTTTCATCTCACCCCATTAAAATGGATTTTAGGCCGGGCGTGGTGGCTCACGTCTGTCATCCTAGACCTTTGAGAGCCTGAGGTGGGTGAACCTCATAAGGTCGGGAGTTTGAGACCAGTCTGACCCACATGAAGAAACACTGTCTCTACTAAAAATACAAAATTTAGTTGGGCGTGGTGGCGTGTGCCTGTAATTCCAGCTACTCGGGAGGCTGAGGCAGGAGAATCGCTTGAACCTGGGAGGTGGAGGTTGTGGTGAGCCGAGATCGCACCACTGCACTCCAGCCTGGGTGACAAGAGCGAAACTCCATCTCAAAATAAAATGAAATAAAATAAAATGGCTTTTAGCTGCAAGACAGGCAAAGGAAATCCTGCCAAAGTGGTAGAGAAAGGAGAACCCTAATACCCTGTTGGTAGGAGTGTAAATTAGTACAGCCTTTACGGAGAAAAGTGTGGAAGTCCTTTAAAGAACTAAAAAGAGGTTGGGTGAGGTGGATCATGCCTGTAATCCCGGCACTTTGGGAGACCGAGGCGGGCACCTCAGTTGAGGTCATGAGTTTGAGAGCAGCCCAGCCAACATGGGGAAACCCCATCTATACTAAAAAAAACAAAAAGTAGCCAGGCATGGTGGCGTGCACCTGTAATCCCAGCTACTAGGGAGGCTGAGGCAGGAAAATCATTTGAACCCAGGAGGCGGAGGTTGCAATGAGCCAAGATGACTTCACTTGTACTCCAGCCTGGGCACAGAGGGAAACTGTCTCAAAAACAAAAACAAAACAACAAACGAATAACTAAAAAGAGAACTTTCATAGTATCCAGCAATTTCACTACTGGGTTTATATCCAAAGGAAAGTAAATCAATATATCGAAGTGATATCTGCACTCGTATGATTGGTGCAGCACTGTTCACAGTAGCCAAGATGTGGAGTCAACCTACCTGCCCATCAGTGGATGAATGGATAGAGAGAATGTAGTACATACGCACAGTGGAGACTACTCATCCATAGAAAGAATAACATCCTGATATTTGCAGCCACATGGATGGAACTGGAAGTCATTACAAAGATTCCCATTTCTCACCCATATACAGAGCTAAAAGGTGGATCTCATGAAGGTAGAGAGTAGAATGGTGGCTTCCAGAGGCCAGGAATAAAAGGGTGGAGGGTAAAAAAAAAAAAAAAAAAAAAAATATATATATATATATATATATATATATATATATGTTTATATATGTGTGTGTGTGTGTATATATATATATATATATATATATATAAATGTATTTATGACCACTAGACTTTACACTTAAAAATGGTAAATGTGGCTGGGCGTGGTGGCTCATGCCTGTAATCCCAGCACTTTGGGAGGCAGATGCGGGTGGATCACGTGGTCAGGAGTTGGAGACCAGCTCGACCAACATGGTGAAACCCCCTCTCTACTAAAAATACAAAAAGTAGCCTGGCGTGGTGGTGCGCGCCTGTAGCACCAGCTACTCAGGTGGCTGAAGCAGGAGAATCACTTGAACCCAGGAGGCGGAAGTTGCAGTGAGCTGAGATTGTGCCACTGCACTCCAGCATAGGGGACAGAGCTAGACTCTGCCTCAAAAAAAAAAAAAATGTTAAAGGTGGTAAGCTATATAGGTATATTTATCCTCAATAAATATTTCTTCAAACAAAAGTAAAGGGTGTAGGGGTTGCTGGTGATGACATCCCTGTGTGGGTGAGAGGCCAGGATGGGCTTCTGGGAAATGGGTAATGTTGAGGGGCTGAGGGAACCTCTGATCTTCCCAAACTGAGCCCAGTCTCTCTCCTCTGGGTCTCTCCTGACCGTTTTCTCCATCTGCCTGTGTGCCTGGAGCCCTGGCCGCGGGCCTTCATGCAGGCCGTGTAGGAGGGTTTGGAGGTGCCCTGTCTGCCATCCTGTGCCCTGATCCCTCCCTCACACCCAAGCTTCGTCTTCTCTCTGCATCTGTCCATGCTTCTCTCCATCATCAGCAGGAAGCTCCTCAGCTAAGGCTCTAGGATCATAGGACATGAGACAGATATGGGGTTTCCTCACCTGTGACAGAAACAAGCAGTGGGTCACTCGAGTTTGACCACTCGTATGGAGAGTCACGGAAAGAGCCGAAGCATCTGTAGGTTCCTCCGTGGGTGGCAGGGCCCAGAGGAAAGTCGGCCTGGAATGTTCCGTTGACCTTGGGCCCTGCAGAGAACCTACGTTCATGGGCCTCCCCCTCCCTGGATAGATGGTACATGTCATAGGAGCTCCGGGAGCTGCAGGACAAGGTCACGCTCTCTCCTGCCAGAACCGTGGGGCCCGGCTGGGCTGAGAGAGAAGGTTTCTCATATAGACCTGGAGGAGAAGAGGCATTTTCCTTACGGAGGATCTTCCTTGTCACAGCTCCCTTCACCTGAGCTGAGAACTCACTCCCCTGCTCTATGACCTAATGCTCTCTCTCTCTCTCTCTCTCACCCTCCACCCCATCTCTCTTCATGTCTATTTCCTTCTTCCACCTTCTCTGTCTCTCTAGGTCTCTGACCTCGCTTCCCCACCTCTAGATATGTTTTCCCTTTTTGGATTCTTTTATTCTCTCTGACTCTCCTTGGATTGGTTGACTTGATGTTACTTTTTTAAATTCTAAGTTTCTCACGTTGTGTCCTGTTCATAACTTTCTGCATATTTCTATCTATTATCTGTCGATCTATCTATTTATCTATTCGGTGCCTATCTACAAATTCTCTACCTGTCATCTATATCTATATATCATCTATGTATCTATCACTTGTCTATCTATCCATCAATCATCTGTTATTTATATGTATGTATCATCTCTCTCTCTATGATTTCTGTCTGCCTCTCTATCTGTACGTATTATCTGTCTTCATCATCATCATCTCTATGTATTATCTATTAATGAATCAATCAATCATCATCTATGTATCTTTAACCTATTATCTATCATCTACCTATTTATCATCTATCTATATCTATCCATCTATCATCTGTCTTGCTCTGCCTCTCGGTCTCTCTAGTTCTCTTTGGAATCTCTGCAATTCATCCCCACATCTCCATGTTTCTATGTCCTTGTGCCTCTCTCTCAGGACTCTAATTTTAGTGCTTTTCTCTGCTCCCTGCCATCATTCTCACCACTCCTCTGCCCTCTTTTCTCTCTCTTTATGTGTCTGTGAGTCTCTCAATCTCCTTCCTCTGGCTCATTCTCTGTGTGTTTATGTCTTTGCTTTTTGGTGTTCCTGATTTTTCTCTGTGCCTCTCAGTGATCCTTTCATATGTGGGGTTATTTGGAATGTGAGCCACAGAATCCAGTCTGGAGACCACAAGTTCACACAGCATACAGGGGTTGGTGTTCTGGGGCCATGATATCCTGGGACGATTACTCTCCATTACATGGAAGGCAGAGGTGTCAGAATAAACATGGCCTGTAGGTGCCACAAGGCCTGAGGCCACAGGGCCCAACTCAGGTCATAAATATGGGTGTCCTTGGGTTCTCCTGGTAGAGAACACTTTGTGGAGGTAAAACAGAAATGAAACTTCTAACCTGTGCCAGGTCTGTGAGCAAAGTCAGCATGGAGGGACACCTCTCTCTGGGACATGTCTGTCTGTCTGTCTCTTTTAACTCTTTCTGTCTTTTCTAACTCCCTGTATGGCCCCTGTGTCTGTCCTCTGTTATGACACCTGGTCTGTACTTGTGTCTCCTGTTTCTCTGTCTCTGTTGGTACAAACCTCAGCAAGTCAGTCTCTCTCCATAAGAATACCAAGCTCATCTTCCTTACAACTACCTGGGGGTTCCAAGTCGTGGATCATTCACTCTGCATCCCAATGACAATGAGAATGTCCGGACACTCTCACCTGTGATGACGATGTCCAGAGGGTCACTGGGAGCTGACAACTGATAGGGGGAGTGAGTAACAGAACCGTAGCATCTGTAGGTCCCTGCAAGGTCTTGCATCATGGGACCGATGGAGAAGTTGGCCTTGGAGACCCCATCATGGTGCTCTCCAATGAGGTGCAAAGTGTCCTTAAACTTCCCTTCTCTGTGCAGAAGGAAGTGCTGAAACCTGACATCTGACCAACATTGCAGGATGACTGTCTCTTCTGATTTCACCAGGGGACCTGGGTGGGCCAGGAGGGAAGGTTTTCTGTGGACTCCTAGGAAGAGAGGTTGTGAGTTTAGAAGGTGTCTCTCTTTATCATCCCATCCATGGCACCTAGAATGAGTGAGGCTTCCCCTTGCTGGTGTCTGTCTCTCTCCTTCCTCTCTGTGTCTTCATGTTCTTTTCTGTGCCCTTAACTCCTGGTGCAGGTCCTTCCATCTGTCTCCCTCCCTCTTCTCTGTCCCTCTGTCTCTAGTAGCCTCTGATTCCCTTCCCACTGGGCTGAGCCTCATCTCTTGGGGTGTTGTATCTATTTCACACTAATGTATTTCCTGCTGTTTATGTGGGGGTGAAAGAGGAACCAGGATAGGCTGCACATCCAGGCTCTTATCAGCCTGGTTCAATCTCTTTTGGATGAATTGCAATCCTTGGCAGAAGGTATGAACTGATGAATAAGGCAGGCACCAGTGTCCACACACCCTGTTCCTGGTGGGGACTGGGAGCCACTCTTGCCATGCCTGTGCCTTCTCCATGGTGCCAGCTTCCATAGGCTGGCTCCTGGTGCTGGTTGGAGGAGTATCAACCCCTCCCTATGTGGATGGAGCCTGGTGGTGGCATCATCATCCCACCCTTGCTGATCTCAGGGTAGCCAACCTTCTCCTTGTTTGGTTTCTTTAATTAATTAATTAATTATGGAGACAGAGTCTCACTCCTTCACCCAGGCTGGAGTGAAGTGGTGTGGTCTAGGCTCACTGCAACCTCTGTCTCCTGGGTTCAAGTGATTCTCCTGCCCTCAGCCTCCTGAGTCGCTAGGATTACATGCACCTGCCACCATGCCTGGCTTTCCTTGGGTTGTTTCTTAACTTGTCCTTGACCTGGGTTCCAGTGTTGGTTTCCTGTTGCTGCTGTAGAAAATTATCAGAAGCATGGCAGCAGGAGAGACCACACTGACACCTTCCAGTACTGGAGACAGAAATTGGACCCTATTTTTCCTGGGCTAAAATCAAGGCATCTGCAGGGCTTTGTTCCCTCTGGAGACTCTGGAGAATCAGTTCCTTGACTTTTCCAGCCTCTATAGGCCACCTGCATTCATGGATCTTGGCCTTCCTCCACCTTCAAAGCTGGTGAAGACTTCCACTGGACTGCTCTAATCCCCACTCCCCTCTTCCTCCTCCTTTCATGTGCACCCTTGTGATTACACTGAGCCCAGTGGGACAGTCCAGGCTGTCTCCCCATGAGCTCCATCTTCCCCTTCAGTCCCTTCCCCTATAACATAAATAGTCACAGACTCCAGGGATTAGAATGTAGTCATCACTGGGGACAATTATTCTTCCCACCACAGCACCCATTTCCCTGTATTCAATCCCCCTTTACCACAAATACAGTCAGGGCCTGCGTGATGGGACCCTCAAGGACATGCCCAACAGAAGCTCTGGGATTCAGGAGGTGGGACAAGGAGAATCCAAGACAGGAGCCCTCTGACCTATGACCACGATCACCAGGGGGTTGCTGGGTGCTGACCACCCACTGGGGGAGTGTGTGTGTGAACCCCGACATCTGTATGTCCCTGTGTGTGCGGGGGTCACAGGGCCCATGAAAAGGCTGTTCCAGAATATTCTGTTGTAGAGCTCAGGGACAGGCACCCCACCTTCCTTTTACAGACTGAAGTTGTTAAACCCAAGATAAGAGTGACACCGAAGAATGACATGTCCTAGAGGCACCACAAGGCTGGGCCAGGCAGACAGCAAGGGCTTGTCCTGACCACCTTGGGGAGAAGGAGGCGCCGCCTTAGAGAGGAGGATGTGGAACTGCCCTTCCCTCCCTGTGCTCAGAAGATTCTCCTCGCTTTCCACGTTTCTATGGCTACT
The DNA here is from genome assembly GCF_000001405.40 of Homo sapiens. Classification (NCBI taxonomy): domain Eukaryota; kingdom Metazoa; phylum Chordata; class Mammalia; order Primates; family Hominidae; genus Homo; species Homo sapiens. The sequence continues at coordinate 128,912 of NT_187673.1, forward strand.
ATCACACCTTGGTGCCCAGGGCTGAAGGAAGGACCCATCCCGCAAAGACATGGTGTCTCCCTACAACAAAAGCCTCAGCTGAGAACTTTGAGCAAGTGCTGAGTAAAGAGACTCCTACTAGATTTTAATACTGTAAGATTACTCACATAAAACAACACAGGGTAGACATGAGGTGGAGGGCATGTCCTTTGTGAATGGATATCAGCGGATGCCTGAACGAAAATAAACAACTGAGCCCCCATCAGAGGATTTGGAATGTCAGGGCCATGGCTGTGGTTTCCCACCTCTTCTGGTAGAATGACAGCAGCCACACTGCAGCCCCTACCATCATGGAAACGCTGAAGTGTGTGAGTAACACCTTTGTCCTCAGAGGATCTGCTGTTCCTACCACTTCCCAACCACACACCCCAGCTTTGAGCACCCCAGTCTAACCCTGGTCCCCACAGAACTTGACTCTGCCAAGGGGTTGAGAGGCCAGGGAGGCGAGGTCAGAAATGTGGGCTGAGCACCCCAGGGTCCTCTCTTCCTAGTTTATGAGAGACTCCCCGACAGGACTTCCCTCCTGTTTCAGGAAAATCCTCTTATGTGGGGAGATGACACCCGAAGGTTTGGAGAAGGACTCACCCTCATGTGGCCAGGCCCCCTGCAGCAAGAAGAACCCTGGAAAGAAAGATCATGATGGACCATCCATCTGCAGGCAAACCAGGCCTCCCTTGCTGCCCCCACTGGGCTGTGAGTCTTGGCAGCCAGGCCCTTCCTGGGCTGAAGTTAAACTCACCCTCAGTGCCTACCTGCACCCAAGAACAGGGCTGTCGGCTGTGCAGAGACCCAGTTTCCAGGCCCATATCCCCACCCCAAGCCCATATCTCCACTCCAGGCTGATATTTCCACCCTAGGCCCATATCGCCAATCCAGGCTCAGATCTCCACCCTAGGCCCCTATCTCCAATCCAGTCCCATATCTCCGCCCCAGGCCCAGATCTCCACCCTAAGCCCATATCTCCACTCCAGGCCCATATCACCTCTCCAGTCCCATATCTCCACACCCAGGCCCATATCTCCTTCCTAGGCCCATATCTCCACTCCAGGCCCAGATATCCACCTCTAGGCCCATAACTCCACTCCTGGCCCATATCTCCACTCCAGGCCCATATCTCTACTGCAGGCCCGTATCTCCACCTCCAGACCCATATCTCCACTCCAGGCCCATATCTCCACCTCCAGGCCCATATCTCCACCTCCAGGCCCATATCTCCACTCCAGGCCCATATCTCCACTCCAGGCCCATATCTCCACTCCAGGCCCCTATCTCTACTGCAGGCCCATATCTCCATCTCCAGGCCCATATCTCCATCTCCAGGCCCATGTCTCCACTACAAGCCCATATCTCTACTGCAGGCCCATATCTCAACCTCCAGGCCCATATCTCCACTCCAGGCCCAGATCTCCACTCCAGGCCCAGATCTCCACTTCTAGGCCCATCACTCCATCTCTAGGCCCATAACTCCACTTCCAGGCCTATATCTCCAACTCTGGGCCCCGATCTCCATCCCCGCACTCCCTCCCTCGATGCCCTTCCAGGACTCACCAACACACACCATGCTGACGACCATGAGCGACATGGTGCTGTCTGTGCAGACAGGCGGCCGCGCCCCAGCTCAGCTCAGCAGCGCACAGGATGTTATTTGGCGCCCTGCCCATGCAGTTTACATGTTGACCACATCATGGGAGGGTGACGTACGCAGGCTCTTTCTACCTTGCATGAGGCCCAGTGGGTGCTCGCTCAAGAGCGGAACATGGCTTCCTGGAAATTGTTCTCACTAGAATTGACACCTTGCGTCCTTCACTACGACCAGACTCAAAAGACGTCTCAGATCCAACCTCTCATACACGAGATGATTGAATTCTGTGCTTACATTAAAGATTTTTGATGTATTTTTGTTTTTATCTGAGATTCAAACTCTTCTTCATATGTAATGTGCAAAATGTCTAACAGGTATTATTAACATTATCAGAGTAATTGTGACAAGAAGCCATTCTAATTTTCCTGCTTGAGTTTCTACTACTAAACCAGAGGCATCAGAATAGCTTGAACCTGGGAGACGGAGGTTGCAGTGAGCTGAGCTCAAGCCACTGAACTCCAGCTTGGGTGACAGAGGAAGAGTCTGTCTCAAGAAAAAAAAAAAAAGCAAACTAAATAACCTATAATAACAAATCAGAGGACTCAGGTTACCAAATTTTAAGGGGTTCTATAAGTTTATATAAAATGCAGCATCCTCATGAGAGGGGATACAGAGAACCACTGGACAGAAAACTGTGTCTAAAATACATCTGTGGATACACAGTCCCTTTATAGTTGACAAAGGCTGCCATGTAGTTTAAGGTGGAATAGAATATTTTCTCAACAAATAACACAGGACCATAGGGTTACACGTAGGAAAAAATAAATCTAAACTTATCCTCACACTATAAAAACACTTCTTATTTTTTATCTTGTTGTTGTAAATTTTTTATGCTTTATTTTTAAGATTGACAAATAAAAATTATATACCATGGTCCTTCACTATACCTGGGTGATTGGTTCCAGGATCCCCATTCAGATACCAAAATCTGCAGATGCTCAAGCCCCTTGCATGAAATGGCATAGTGAAGCTGGGCACCGTGGCTCACGCCTGTAATCCCAGCACTTTGGGAGGCTGAGCTGGGTAGATCACAAGGTCAGGAGTTCAAGACCAGCTGGTCCAACATTCTGAAACCCCATCTCTACTAAAAATATACACACAAAAAAATTTATCTGTGCATGGTGGCACGTGCCTGTAATCCTAGGGGAGGCTACTGGGGAGGCTGAGGGAAGAGAATCGCTTGAACCTGGAAGGCGGAGGTTGCAGTGAGTTGAGATCACGCCACTGCACTCCAGCCTGGGTGAGAGAGTGAGACTGTCTCAAAAAAAAAAAAAAAATAGCATAGCAATTGCATAGAACCCATGCACATCCTCCTGTATACATGAAATCATCTCTTGATTACTTATAATTCCTGACACAGCCTACACGCCACTCAATTTGTGTCGATTCAACATAGTTTTTTGCTTTTTGAAACTTCGGGGATTTTTTTTCTCAAAATATTTTTGATTTATTGCTGATTCAATAAACATGTGTAAACCCCAGAGATATGGAGGAGTGACTGTCTATTTATAGTAGTATGAAAGATGATGTGTTGATACGTGTCCCTGTGGAGATGAGACTAACAAGGCCTATGACTCTACAAATGTTTCATCGTGGAATGACTCTGCCAGCTTTCCAGATCTGCAGAGAGTAAGAATATCACTTGTTCATCTGATTCACCATCCTTGGAACCTCCTATGTGCTGCATCTTTGGATGGAAATTGGAGTCTCAGAGACAATTCAGGCTCCACCATGCTTCCAGAAGCTCAGAGTCCAGGGCTGAGAACCCAGCGGAGAACAGATGGGGTTATGTGGACGTGGTAATGATAACACCGGAAGCCTTAGGCAAGAAAAGAGTCCCATTGAAGAAACCATGAGGGCAGACATGTTTACTTGAAGAATAGAAAACTACATTGAAATTATAAAAAAAATTTATAAGTTTTACTGCTGACAGAAGGCTGAAAGATACTCTGAGGAAAGGTGGAATAGCACGTATCTAAGTGCCGTGTTAAGAGGGAGCCTCTTATATGTTTGGAATTGTGAGTTCCTCAGTGTGATCGCAGCCTCAAGTAGACTAGGAAGTAAGCCAGTTAGGTTGGAGAGGTGGGCAGGGGTCAAGTGAAATGGAGAATTGTGGGCTAAGCAAGTGTGTTTTCTCTCCAGCAGGCAGTGGGGACCTTAGACATTTGTAAGCAAGAGAGAGGCATGTTCAGATTCGTGGTGTGAGGAAGAGCGATGCCCTAAGATGCAGACTCACGCCTTCAGAGTCCAGCTGCTGGTACATGGGAGCTGGCAACCCGGTTTTGAGACAGGGCTATTGTCTCCCTAGAAGATCCCATCAAGGCCTGACTGTGGTGCTAGTGGACAGAAGACAACTTTGGATCTGCGCTCAGCATTTGGAAGTTCCGTGTTACACGCTGGTATCTGTTGGGGGTGTCTTGGGCCTCTGAGAAGGGCGAGTGATTTTTCTCTGTGTGAAAACGCAGTGATTCAACTGTGCGTATGTCACCTCCTGAGGGTCTTGTTCATCAGAGTCCTGGAGGGAGGGAAATGCTGAGTGAGGGAGGGTGCTCACATTTTCCAGGACTCTTTGGGAATAAGACTAGCCACGAGGCTGGGCGGAGGAGCACCTACCTCCCTGTTCACTGTTCTGTTCCCTGCAGGCTCTTGGTCCATTACAACAGCATCTGTAGAAGACGGAAGTCGTCAAAACAGCTCGGAGGGCACTTCTGGGTCCTCATTTCATAAGCAGATACCAACATACAGGGGGAGGCCATAGGTGCCTGAGGTCCCTCAGTTGCCAACAGCAGACTCAGACATTCTATCTCTCTGAGCTCAAGGATCCATCCCATGTATAGCTCTGAGTTCCCATCCTATTGATTCTGTGTCCCACTTTCTGCCTGTCATGGAACCTTCTCCTGGATGTGAGTGGCTGCAGGGGATGTGAGGATACGGTTCAGAATCAGGCAATGGTCTGTGAGCTGAAGGCAGAGGCAGGGAGTCTGGTGCTCTCTCTAGAAAGTCCTGCCTCTGTGGCTCCTGCCTTGGGCCAGGGACCATCCAGTCTGTGAGGAACACACACCTGAGTGCTCCCATCCTGCTTCCCCACATGGCCCTGAGCTCTCTGGCTTCTGCTTCGTGAGACTTACTCTTTTTGTTGGCACACCAGCGATGAAGGAGAAAGAAGAGGAGGATAGCAAAGGGGATGATGACCACTGAGGTCCCAATCAGAACGTGCAGGTTTCTGGAGTTACCTGGAGGAAGACAAGACACCAATAAGAAGCTAATCATAGCAGTTCCTCTATATGAATTGTCTCACATTTCTTGATTGACAGGTAACCACATACAACGTCTCTTTAGGACAAGCACCCAGATGGCGGGAGACCTAGCTTCCTCCTGCTTTCTCAGTTGTAGTAACCATAGAACGTGCTGAGGATACAACTGCTTTAGTTTAGATGTTTGACCCCTTCAAACCTCACATTGAAATGTAACCCCCAGAGTGGGAGGTTGGGCCTCTTGGGAGTTGTTTGGGTCATGGAGGTGGATCCATCATGAACAGATCAATGCTGTTCCAAGGAGACGGGGTTAGCAAGTTCCCCCTCTATTAGTTCCTGGAGAACTGGTTGTTAAAAGAGCTTGGAAGCTCCATCGCTCCCCCTCCCCCTTGGTCCCTCTCTTGCCGTGTGATCTCTGTGGTCTCTGCACAGACAGACCCTCCTTCCCTTCTGCCAGAGTGGGAGCAGCCTGAGGCCGTCACAAGAAATAGATGCTGGTGCCATGCTTCCAGTACAGCCTGCAGAACTGTGAGGCAAACACATTTCTTGTCTTTAGAAGTTACCCAGGCTCAAGTGTTCCTTTAGAGCAACAAAAATGGACTAAGACAGCAACGTCCTGAGATCAGGAGGAACATCCCAGAACAGCCTGGGCTGTCTTCCTGTTCTTCCTGGAGGAGGACGTCATGCAGTGCTTTAGCTGAGTGCTTCCTGTGGCTCCAGGGTACAAAACCCAGGCTGGGCTGCTTTTTGATTTCCCCCAGATACACTGCATATGGGGTGACTCCACATGTCTCGAGCAGCTTTTCTGAGCCTTGAGGGACTGGCTCACATTGAAATGTAGGTTTCTGTTGTCACTCGCTGCTTATCTGTTAGTAATGAACCTGCCTGTGTAATGTGTTCTCTGTGTGTTCTGTCTCCCTGGAGTGACGGTGAGTGATAGGAATTGGTATAGGCCCAGGTGCATTCCAGGAGGTGTTTAGAATCTTCTCTGGGAAGACTGGATTGGGATTGATACACAGCGAATGTGCTTTACAGTTTCTACCACCACAACCCTCTTGACTCAAAAAAATTACATTCTCCAAGAAAAGAAAGAAAAAATGAAATCAAGATAAAAAAAGTGAAGTAGAACTGACTTAAATCAAACAGCCATGAAATAATGATGTAGCCCAGGAACAACATGCTACTTTTTGTGATCTGCTGAGACATATATTAGGCTGCTATTCCACCCGAGAAGCACGGGGAAGGACCGCCCTCTCCGTCGTTTATTGTTTCAATACAGCCTGTCCTTCTGTGAGTTAGTACGAAATGTGACCAGGGGCTAGTGCTGGCACTGGTCTCTGAGTCCAAGATCTGAGCTCACTCCAAAGAGTATTAGTGTTTACCTCCCCATGATCTATCTGTATCTCCATAGGTGATTGGAAGTAGAGATGAATTGGGGGATTTGGGTGAAGGGGCAAGTTTTATGCCATGAACAGAGCACGTTCTCTATTCCAGGACCTGTGCTGGTGGGTTCAGGAGGCTTTCACATTTTCCATATGATCCCAAGCTCACAGAAAGCCAAATAAGGAAGAGGTTTAACCTGATTGTTTAATGGATAAGATAAAGGGTCAAAGAATTAAACACAGAGAAATAGAAAAATGATGGTTGGTATCCAGTTGCCTTTGTAATTTCTGTGTGTCATAATTATGTATGTTTTATTTTTATTTTTTGAGACAGAGTCCCCCTGTGTCAGGCTGGAGTGCAGTGATGCGATCTCAGTTCAACCTCTGCCTCCAGGGTTGAAGCCATTCTTCTGCTTCAGCCTCCCCAGTCGCTGGGATTACAGGCAGGTGCCAATGCACCAGGCTAATTTTTGTATTTTTAGTACAGACGGGGTTTCACCATGTTGGCCAGGCTGGTCTCAAACTCCTACCCTTAAGTGATCTACCCGCCTTGGCCTCCCAAAGTGTTGGGTTACAGGTGTGAGCCCCCATCCACAGTCTTGTATATTATATTATACTAGGTCCCTTCATTTGCACCACCCCTCATGTGTCTATCGCTCCTCTGCCAGGTATTGATTTAGATGTAGAAAAAAAACACATCTCAGAAAGAAATTAATGAAACAAGGATTAAACTACTAGGAAAAATCAAACCCAGCAAGCCCTCCCTGCAAATGATTCTACCTCACAAGCATAGCTTATATCCATCTTTCATTCATTTAGTGTGTAAATCAACCCTACGTTTCACCAGTGGGGCGGGAATTGCCTTTTCCACGGTCTCCTAGATTCCAGTTACGCACCTGGGCCTCCCTTATTTTCATGTCGGTCACTGTTAATCAGGTAGGGATTCCTAGTTAGCTCTGAGTTGAATCCAAGGGCTGTGAGTATCAAAAACATGCTCCTTGTTCCTCCTTAGTTTCCTGTGTACCCAGTGTGCTCTCCATCTCTCTACAGTTGTCTTGTCATTCTCCCCATCTCATTCCCAGCATTTGAGGCAGAGCCTCTTCCTTGAACTAAGAATGTTTCCACCTTTGTGCCTTCACGGCTGAGAGCTCAGTGTGGAAAATCCTTCCGCCAATCTTCCAAGGGTTGAATCCATTTTTTCCATTAAGGTCACAAATATTATCTGATCAGTGAGACCTTCTCTGTCACCTGAAATTATATACTCAGCATTATCTATTACTTATTTTAAATCCTGGCTGGGCGCAGTAGCTCTCGCCTGTAATCTTTGCACTTAGGGACGCTAAGGCGGTGGGATCACTTGAGATTGGGAGTTTGAGACAGCCTGCACAACATGGTGAAACCTCATTTCTACTAAAAAAATATACCAAAAAAATTAGCCGAGTGTGGTGGCGCACAGCTGTAATCCCAGCTACTCGGTAGGCTGAGGCAGGAGAATTGCATGAACCCAGGAGGCAGAGGTTGCAATGAGCTGAGATTGTGCTACTGCACTCCAGCCTGTGGAACAGAGAGAGACTCTACTCAAAAAAAAAAAGAAAACAAAAAACACACACACACACAAAAAACCCCAGATTTGGTGCACAGATGCTTCCCAATGGATCATTCATTTATTGGTACCCTTGTGCATTCATTCTCTGCCCTCGCATTTACCCATCTGCAATATCAGCGTCCCAAGAGCAGAGGCCAAATGCATCCTGTTTACCATTTGTGGAAGGCAGGAGAATGCTGCCCCACCCCCAAAATGTCCCTGTCTTAGCCTCCATAGCTTGTGAATATGTTATTTTACAGGAAAGGAGGAATGAAGATTGCAGATGGCATTACGGTTGCTAATCAGCTGAACTTAAAAAGAGGGTACGCTGGATGATTTTAGGGAGATTGAGATGGATTATCTTGGTGACCCCAATAGAATCCCAAAGTCCTTAAAAGATGAGGAAGAAGGCAGAGCAGGATTCAGAGAAAAAGGTGTGGGTAAAGAAGAAGAGTCTGAATGATGCCATGTGAGACGTGACCAGCCTTTGTGGGCTTTGAGGAAGGAGGAAGGAGGAAGGGGACCAGGGGCCCAGGAACGTGGGAGCCTCTAGGAGCTGGGAAACGTTAAGGAGCAGATTCTTGCTTGGAACCTTAAAAAGAAATCCAGCCTTACTGTCCCTTTGATATCAGCCCAGTGAAATGCAGTTCATACTTCTGAGTTACAGCACTGTGAGATAATTAAGAAAAACATGTTTTCATCCACGAAGCTTGTGGAAATTTGTTATGGCAACAATAGGAAAAGATTCCACACTGCACAGCCTGAGCATGGGGCATTGGCTGAACGAGTGAGTGAGTGGAAGTGTCGTGTGCATAAATAAGCTAAATTCTCTCTTACTGCACGTCTCTTGCTCTGCTGAGTCAACCAGGGTTGCATCTGGTACACTGCTGATACGAATGTAAATTAGTACAGCCATTACAGAGGAGAAGAGTATGGAAGTTCCTCAAAAAATAAAATGAGGTCGGGCACAGTGGTTCATGCCTGTAATCCCAGCACATTGGGAGGCCGAGGTGGGTAGGTCACTTGAGGTCAGGAGTTGAAGAGCAGCCTGGCCAATATAGCGAAACTCTGTCTCTACTAAAAATATAAAAATTAGCCGAGTGTGGTGGTGGGAGCCAGTAACCCAGCTACTTGGGAGGCTGAGGCTGGGGAATCTCTTGAATCCTGGAGGTGGAGGTTGCAGTGAGCCCAGATGGCGCCACTGCACTCCAGCCTGGGCAACAAGAGTGAAACAGTCTAAAAAAAACAAAAACAAAAACAAAAACCATAAAACAAAATGTAAAAAGACACTTCCAGAGGATCTAGCAATTCCATGACTGGGTGTAAACCCAAAGGAAAGGACATCAGCGTATCGAAGTGACATCTGCACTCCCATGACTGTTCCAGCAGTGTTCACAGTAGCCAAGATGTGGATCAACCTACCTGCCCATCAGTGGGTGAATGGATGGAGAGAATGTGGTACACACACACAATAGGGACAACTCATCCATAGAAAGAGTAACATCCTGTCATTTACAGCCACATGAATGGAACTGGAGGTCATTACAAGTATTTCCATTTCTCACTCATATGCAGGAGCTAAAAGGTGGATCTCACAAAGGTAGAGAGTAGAATGGTGGCTACCAGAGGCCAGGAAGGGAAGGGTGGAGGGTAAAAAAAAAAGAATACTAATTAATTAATTAATTAATTTTGAGAGAGTGTCTCTCTCTGTTGCCCAGGCTGCAGTGCAGTGGCATGATCTCAGCTCACTGCAACCTCCGCCTCCTGCAATTAAGTGCAACTCCTGCCCAACCCTACCAAGTAGCTGGGACTACAGGCATGTGCCACCATGCTCGGCTAATTATTATCATTATAATTATTATTTTGTATTTTTAGTACAGATGGATTTTCCCCATGTTGGCCAGGGTGGTCTTGAGCCCCTGATCTCAAATGATCCACCTGCCTTGGCCTCTCAAAGTGTTGGGATTACAACCGTGAGCCACCGTGCCCAGCCTATAAATGTATTTATGAACAGTAGACTTCACACTTAAAAATGGTAAAGGTGGTAAATTACATAGGTATATTTCACCTCAATAAATATTTCTTCAAACAAAAAGAAAAGGGTGTAGGCGTTGCTGGTGATGACATCTCTCTGTGGGTGACAGGCCAGGATGGGCTTCTGGGAAGTGGGTAAGGTTGAGGGGCTGAGAGAACCTCTGATCTCCCCAGGCAGAGCCCAGTCTCCCTCCTCTGGGTCTGTTCTGACCTCTTTCTCCATCTGCCTGGGTGCCTGGAACCCTGATCAAGGGCATCCTTGCAGGCCATACAGGAGGGTTTGGAGGTGCCCTGTCTGCCATCCTGCGCCCTGACCCCGCCCTTACACCCATGCTGTGTGTTCTGTCTCGGCATCTGTCCATGCTTCTCTCCATCATCAGCAGGAAGCTCCTCAGCTATGGCTCTAGGATCACAAGACATGGGACAGGCATGGTGTTTTCTCACCTGTGACAGAAACGGGCAGTGGGTCACTCGGGTCTGACCACGCATGGGGCAGGGCACGGAAAGAGCCGAAGCATCTGTAGTTCCCTCCGTGGGTCACAGGGCCCAGAGGGAAGTTGGCCTGGAATGTTCCATTGACCCTCAGCACTGCAGTGAGCCTAAGTTCACCGGCCTCCGCCTCCCTGGATAGATGGTAAATGTCAAACAAGCTCCGGGAGCTGCAGGACAAGGTCACATTCTCTCCTGCCTGAACCGTGGGGCCCGGCTGGGCTGAGAGAGAAGGTTTCCCATATAGACCTGGAAGAAGAAGAGGTGGTTTCCTCAGGGAGGTTCTTCCTTGTCACAGCTCTCCTCACACCTGAGCTGAGAACTCACTCCCCTGCTCTATGACTTAATGCTCTCTTTCTCTCTCTCACCCTCCACCCCCATCTCTCTTCATGTCTATTTCCTCCTTCCACCTTCTCTGTCTCTCTAGGTCTCTGACCTCACTTCTCCATCCCTAGCTATGTTTTCTTTTTTTGTACCATTTTATTCTCTCTGACCCTCCTTGGACTGGTTGACTTGATCTTCCTCTTTCTTTAATTCTGAGTCTCTCACTTTCTGTCTTGCTCATAACTTTCTGCATATTTCTATCTATTATCTATTGATCGATCTATCATTTATCTATGTATGTATCTATCATCTATCATCATCTGTGTATCTATGACCTATCTCTCTGTTATCTATCATCTATCAATCAATGTATGTATGTATGCATCTATCCATCTATCATCATGTGTTTATCTGTCTTTCTATCTCTCTATATCTATTTATATATCATCTGTCTGTCTTTCTACTTGTCTATCTATATCATCTATCAGTCATTCATCATCTATTTGTCTATCACCTGTCTCTCTATTATCTATCATCTACCTTTTATCTTTCATCTATCTATATCTATCTGTCCATCTATCATCTGTCTCTCTCCATCTCCTTGTCTTTCTCTGCCTCTCAGTCTCTCTAGTTCCCTTTTGGAGTCTCTGCAATCCATCCTCACATCTTTATCTTTCCCTGTCTTTGTGCCCCTCCCTCAGGGCTCTGATTTTAGGGCTTTTCTCTGCTTCCTTCCATCATACGCTCCACTTCTCTGCCCTCTTTTTCTATCTCTTTATGTGTCTGTGAGTCTCTCAATTCCCTTCTTCTGGCTCATTCTGTGTGTGTGTTCATGTCTTTGCTTTTTGATTTCCCTGATTTCACTCCGTGTCTCTCTGTGGGCTTTTGTTCTCAGTAATCCTATAACATGTGGTGCTATTTGAATATGAGCCTCAGAATCCAGTATGGGGACTCCAGGAACTCACAGCATACAGGGGTTGGTGTTCTGCTCCCTCACCTGGGGCCATGGTGTCCTGGGACGATGACAGCTCCACTGCACGGAAGGCAGAGGTTTAAGAATAAACACAACATCTGTAGGTGCCACCAGCCTGGGGCCACATGGCCCAACTCAGGCCAGATAGATGTGTCTCTTTGGGTTCTCCTGGGAGAGAACACTTTGTAGAGGTAAAACAGAATGGAACCTTCTAACCTGTGCCTGGTCTCTGAACAAAGTCAGCATAGAAGGACACCTCTCTCTGGGATATGTCTGTCTCTCTGTGTCTTCTTTACCTCTTTATCTCTTTTTCTAACACCTTGTATGGCCCCTGTGTCTGGCTTCTATGTTATGACATGAGGTCTGTACTTGTGTCTCCTGTTTCTCTGCCTTTGTTGGTACAGACCTCACCAAGTCACTTTCTCTCCATAGGAACCCCACACTCATCTTCCTCATGACCACCTGGGGCTTCCAGTCCTAGATCATTCACTCCATCTCCCAGCAAGGGTGAGAGGCAGGTCTGTATTCTCTCACCTACGACCACGATGTCCAGAGGGTCACTGGGAGCCGACAACTCATAGGGTAAGTGAGTGACAGAACCAAAGCATCTGTAGGTCCCTGCAAGGGCAGGTGTCATGGGACCCATGGAATAGTTGACCTGGGAACCCGCATCGTGGAGCTGTCCAACGAGGCGCAAGGGGTCCTCAGTGATCCCCTCTCTGTGCAGAAGGAAGCGCTCAAACCTGACATCTGACCAACATTGCAGGATGACCGTCTCTCCTGATTTCACCAGGGGACCTGGGTGGGCCAGGAGGGAAGGTTTTCTGTGGACTCCTAAGAAGAGAGGTTGTGAGTTCAGAAGGCGTCTCCCTTTCTCATCCCATTCATGGGACCTGAAATAAGTGAGGCTTCCCCTCCATGGTGTCTATCTCTCTCCTTCCTGTCTGTGTCTCCGTGTTCTTTTGTGCCCATAACCCCTGTTGCAGGTCCCTCCATCTGTCTCCCTCCCTCTTCCCTGTCTCTCTGTCTCTAGTAGCCCTGATTCCCTTCCCACTGTGCTCAGTGTCACCTCTTAGGCTGTTGTATCTGTTTCCCACTAATCTCTTTCCTGGTGTTTATGTGGGGGTGGAAGAGGAACCATGACAGGCTGCATGTCCAGGCTCTTAGCAGCCTGAATCAATCTCTTTTGGACAGATTGGAAAGGCCGGCAGGAGGTACGAACTCATCAGTAAGGCAGGCATCAGTGTCCCTGTTCCTGATGGGGATTGGGAGCCTCTCCTTTCATGTCTGTGCCTTCTCCATGGCCCCAGCTTCCATAGGGTGGCCCCTGGTGCTGGTTCCAGGAGCATCAACCCCTCCCTATGTGGATCGAGCCTGGTGGTAGCATCAGTATCCCACCCATGCTAAAATCAGTGTAGCCAACCTTCTCCTTGTTTGGTTTCTTAACCTGTGCTTCACCTGGGTTCCTGTGTTGGTTTCCTGTTGCTGCTGGAGAAAATTGTCACAAACATGGGGCAGGAGAGAATACAATGACCTCTTCCACTTCTGGAGAACAGAAATCGGACCCAGTTCTCTCTGGGCTAAAATCAAGGCATCTGCAGGGCTGTGTTTCCTCTGGAGACTCAGGGAAGAATCAGTTCCCTTGACTTCTCCAGCCCTTAGAGGCCACCTGCCTTTGTGGCTCATGGCCTTCCCCCATCTTCAAAGCCCGCTGTGGCTGATGGAGTCTCCCTCCCACGACGTTGCTCTAACCCCACTTTCCTCTTCCTCCTCCTCTCATGAGGACCCTTGTGATTACTCTGAGCACAGCAGGACAGTCCAGGCTGTCTCCCCATCGCAAGGTCAACTCATCAACAACCTGAGCTCCATCTTCCTCTTCAGTCCCCTGCCCTATAACATAAATAGTCACAGGGTTCATGGATTACCATGTAGCCATCACTGGGGACAATTATTCTTCCCACCACAGCAACTATTTCTCTGTACTGAATCCCCCTTTACCCCAAATACAGTCGGGGCCTGGATGATTGGACCCTGATGGACGCCCCCACCAGAAGCTCTGGGATTCAGGAGGTGGGACAGTGAGAAGCCCAGACAGAAAGCCTCTGACCTGTGACCATGATCACCACAGGGTTGCTGGGTGCCGACCACCCAGTGGGGGAGTGTGGGTGTGAACTGCAACATCTGTAGGTCCCTGCATGTGCTGGGGTCACAGGGCCCATGAGAAAGCTGTTCCGGAATATTCTGTTGTAGAGCTCAGGGACAGGCATCCCGTCTTCTTTGGACAGACTGAATTCATTAAACCCAAGACGAGAGCGACACTGAAGAGTCACATGTTGTCCTTCAGACACCACAGTGCCGGGCCAGGCAGAGAGGAAGGGCTTGTCCTGACCACCTGGGGGAGAAGGAGGCACCACCTTAGAGAGGAGGATGTGGAGCCGCCCCTCCCTCCCTGTGCTCAGAAGATTCTCCCATTTCCACGTTTCTAAGGCTCCTACCACACCTGGGTGCCCAGGGCTACAGGAAGGACCCATCCCGCATAGACATGGCGTCTCCCTACAGCAAGTGTCAGCTGAGAACTTTGAGCAGGTGCTGAAGAAGCGACTCTTACTAGATTTTAACACTGCAAAATTACTTACATAAAAGAACACAAGGTAGACACAGGATGGAGGGCATGATCAGCTAATGCATGAACCATAATAAACAACTGAGCCCCTATTAGAAGATCTGGAATGTCAGGGTCATGACTGTGGTTCCCCCACCTCTTAGGTAGAATGACAGCAGCCACATTGCAGCCCCTACCGTCATGGAAACGCTGGAGGGTGTGAGTTATGCTCTTGTCCTCAGAGGCCTGTTGTTCCTTGCACTGCTTCTCTCCCTTCCTCTGCCGGTGACACCACTTCCTCCCTGCACACCACTCCTTTGAGCACTTCAGTCTCCCCCTGGGTCCCCACAGACTCAGCCAAGGGAAAGAAAGGCCGGGGAGGGCTAGGACAGAACTGTGGCGAAGCTTCCCCTGGCTTCCTTTTCCTAGTTCATGAGAGATTCCCACATGGCTTCCCATGGTCAGCCCATCAGTCAACCCCCTGTGTCGCCTGCCTCCCGTTTCAGGAGCATCATCTTATGTGGGGAGATGACAACCTAAGGTTTGGGGGAAGGACTCACCCACATGTGGCCAGGGCCCCTCCAGCAAGAAGAACCCTGGAAAGAAAGATCATGATGGATGATCCATCTGTACATCACCTCCAGGCCCATATCTCCACTCCAGGCCCATATCTCCACCTCTAGGCCCATATCTCCACTCCAGGCCTATATCTCCACCTCCGTCCTATATCTCTACTCCAGGCCCATATCTCCACTCCAGGCCTATATCTCCACCTCCGTCCTATATCTCTACTCCAGGCCCATATCTACACTCCAGGCCCATATCTCCACCTCCAGGCCTGTATCTCCACCTCCAGGCCCGTGTCTCCATTCCAGGCCCATATCTGCACTCCAAGCCAACATCTCCACTCCAGGCCCGTATCTCTACTCCAGGCCCATATCTACAGTTCCAGGCCCATATCTCCACCTCCAGGCCCATATCTCCACTCTAGGCCCATATCTCCACCTCCAGGCCCGTATCTCAATTCCAGGTCCATATCTGCACTCCAAGCCAATATCTCCACTCCAGGCCCATATCTACAGTTCCAGGCCCATATCTCTACTCCAGGCCCATATCTCTACTTCAGGCCCATATCTACAGTTCCAGGCCCATATCTCCACTCCAGGCCCATATCTCCACCCCAGGCCCATATCTCCACTCCAGGCCTATATCTCCACTCCAGGCCCATATCTCCACTCCAGGCCCAGATCTCCACTCCAGGCCCAGATCTCCACCCCAGCGCTCCCTCCCTCGATTCCCTTCCAGGACTCACCAACACACGCCATGCTGACGACCATGAGCGACATGGTGCTGCCGGTGCAGACAGGCGGCTGCGCCCCAGCTCAGTTCAGCAGCACACAGGATGTTGTGAGGGGCTCATGCAGTTTACATGCTGACCACATCATGGGAGGATGACGTATGCAGGCTATTTCTACCTTGCATGAGGCCCAGTGGCTGTTTGGTCAAGAGCGGAACATGGCTTCCTGGAAATTGTTCCAACTAGAATTGACACCTTGCATCCTTCACTATAACCAACTCAAAACACGTCTCAGATCCAATCTCTCATACAGGAGATGACTGAATGCTTGGCTTACATTAAAGACTTTTGATGTATTTTTGTTGTTTTTATCTGAGATTCAAACTCTTCTTCATGTGCTATTTTCCCCAGGCTGTTCTTTGACTTCAGAGTTCAAGCAATCCTCCTGCCCCAGCATTTCTAGCAGCTGGCAGTATGTCACAATCTGCCACACCCAAGTCACAACTTTTAGAACTTTTTTTTTTTTTGAGACGCAATCTCACTTCGTCACCCAGTTTGGAATGCAGTGGTGAGACCTCGGCTCATTGCAGCCTCCACCTCCCAGGTTCACGCAATTCTCGTGCCTCAGCCTCCTAAGTAGCTGGATTTACAGGCACCCACCATCACGCCCACCTAATTTTTGTACTTTTAGTAGAGAGGAGGTTTCTCCATGTTGGCCAGGCTGGTCTTGAACTCCTAACCTCAAGTGATCTGTCTACTTCAGCCTCCCAAAGTGCTGAGATTACAGGTGTGAGCCACCATGCCTGGCCGGGACATTCTATATGTGTGCGTATGTGTGCGTTTATATACATATGGTTATACACACACACACACACACACACCCTAAGCACTCACATATATAGTTGTTTCAAATTTTAAAAAATATAAATTTTGTATTTTTCTTTCTTTTTCTCACATTTGTGTTTCTATGACACCATATACATATTGAATTTTATAGTTCTATTTTATTCTTTTGGATTGCAGTTTAATAGTCCATACATAACTTTATCAACATGTAATTATCCACTCTTTTTATCATGGACATTTGTGTTGTTTCCGGATTTTCTCTTTTATAACTCGGGCCTTGATAATCGTGTTTCTGTGTGATCCCTTGCATACATATGCTGAATTAATTAGACATATTTACCTAGGAATGAAATTATTGGTTTTGGGTGCAAGTTGGTGTTGAGCTTAACCAGGAAGTGCCAAAATATTTCCATCATGACCAAATGTGGCCTGGAAAGTTTTTTGGGGTCAATTTTCCTGTTTCTTCTAAGGAACAAAATTGATGTCACTGATTTTTCTGTCCTGTTTGTCATTTATGAATATACGTACATATGCACGTATATATTTGCTTGCCATTTTATGTTTTTCCTCGACGTTACTTTGGAATTAATTTGCTGATGTGTAGTATTTCTGCAAGCGAAAGTTACCTATTTACTCAGCTCTTCCTTCTTTTCTAACACAGACATTTGAGGCTTATTTTCCTTTAACACTGTTCTATCTGTATCCCCAGTCATTTGCCGAGATGTGTTTTCATTTTTAATTGATACAAAATATTTTCCACCTTTCTTTGAAATGTTTTTCTTCCACTCATTGTTTATTGCTATGTGTGTTTATTAATTTTAAAATATTTGATAATTTCCCCAGCATTTCCTTGTTGTACATTTATAATTTAATTCAACTGTTTCATCTATCATATTACCTATGATTCAGCATTTAAAAATTTATTTTGGTGAATGTTCCAGGGGTGCTAGACAAGTTTGTGGATTAGGAAGATTTGAGGTGGATGTTTTCTAAATGTCAGTTAAGAAAAAAATCATTCAAATGTTTTTCTTTATTTAAAAAAAATAGAGACGGGGTCTCACTATGGTGCCCAGGCTGGTCTCAAACTCCTGGCCTCAAGTGATCCTCCCATTTTGGCCTCCCAAAGTGCTAGGATTATTGAAATTATTAAATGTTTCATATCAACACCCAACCTTATGCACCCGCCGCCTACACAAATGTTTTTCAAGTCTTTCATATGCTTAATAATTTTCTGTGTACTTGTTCTGGAAGTGAGGTGAATGTTGCTATCTCTAGCTGCAATTTGGATGTGATTGATTATGTTTTGAATTATGCCTTTAATTTAATGTGTTTTGAGGTTCCAGCTTTAGGTGTGTAGGCATTTAGGATTATTATGTCTTATTTATGAATTTGCCTCTTTGTCATTATGAAGTACTCCTCTTCATATCTCCATATATCTCTTCTTTGTATGTGCATGGTGAAATATTTCATTCTTTGAGTTAAGAAACTTCTATTGAGGAATACTTTTTATTACAAACATTTACCTATTCTATGTATACAACTGACTAGAAGCATATTTTGCACTGGGCATTATCATGACAATGTAATGTCATTCTTTCAATATTTACATCTTGTGGATTAGTATTTGAAGTGCAGCTTATGTAGACAGCATAAGGTTGGGTGTTGATATGAAACATTTAATAATTGCACACGTATTTGCCTCTTGGGATACTTCCACTTTTTTGAATTTCAAGTTACTAAATGGTATCATTAATCTTTGCTTCAAGAGCTTAACATTTATTGTAGAACAATGCTTCATGTAATAAATTGTGAGACATTTTTAATGGCACCTTTATTGCAGGAAAATGTTTTCCTTTTCAGGTTGAAAGATTCTAGTTTGAAATATTTTCTTGTAGCACTTTAAAAATGTTGGTCCACCTATTTCTTACTTTCATAGTTTTGAATACAAAGTTTGCTGTCATTCTTGTATTTCTTCTTCTGTTTTTTATTTATTTATTTTTGACAGAATATCTTGCCGTCTCACCCAGGCTGGAGTGCAGTGGCATGATCTTGGCTCACTGCAACCTCTGCCTTCCAGGTTTCAGCAATTCCTGCCTCAGCCTCCTGAGTAGCTGGGACTACAGGCATGCGCCACCATACCCAGCCAATTTTTTTTTTTGTATTTTTTTTTTGTAGAGATGAAGTTTTGCCATATTGGCCAGAACTCCTGACCTCAAATGATCCACCTGCTTTGGCCTCCCAAAGTGCTGGGATTACAGGTGTGAGCCACTGTGCTCAGGCTATTTATTCCTTTTTATATAATATGAATTCACATTCATACATACCAGGGGTTAGGATTTCAACAAACGTTTCTGGGGGAGACCACTCAAAACACAGCACTCATCCTTGGTTATTTCCAGCCATGGAGCCTGTATCAATATCCTGGTGAATTATCTAAGCTGTCCACCTACCTACCCCAAATCCTCATGGTCACATAAAAGGCTAGTATAGTATAATAATTTTTCTTTCCCTGCTTATCTACAGTGATGAAGAAACGAATATTCAAAGGGAAAAATCTTAGCTTTAGGTATAGGGTAATTCTTCTTCCTATTTTTAAATAACTTCAACCTTTACTGTAGATTAAAGGTATGCATGCAGGTTTGTTACATAGGCATATTGTGTGACTCTGAGGTTTGTGGTTCCAACAATGCCATCACCCAGGCAATGAGCATAGAATCCAACAGGTGTTTCTTCAGCCTATACCTCCCTACTCCTCCCCCCATCTGTAGTCCTCGGTATCTGTTGTTTCCATCTTTATGTTCATGTGTATTCAATGTTTGGTTCTCAGTTATAAGTGATAACATGTGGTATTTGGTTTTCTGTTCCTGGGTTAGTTCACTTAGGAGATTGACCTCCTGCTACATTCATGTTGCTGCAAAGGACATGATTTCATTATTTTTTATGGCCATGTAATGTTCCATGTGTATATGTAGCACATTTTCTTTAACTAATCCACTGTTGGTGAGCACTTAGGTTGACTGCAAATCTTTGCTATTCTGAATTGCACAGCAATGAATATACTAGTGCATGTGTCTTTTTGACATAGTTAATTACCTTCCTTTTGGTATATACCCAGTAGTGGGATTGCTTGATTGAATAGTAGTTCTATTTTAAGTTATTTGAGAAGTCTCCAAACTGCTTATCACATTGGCTGAACTAGTTAACATTCCCACCAAGAGTGTATAAGTGTTCCCTTTTCTCCACAATCTTGTCAGCATCTGTTATTAAAAAAAACAAAAAACTTTTTAGTAATTGCTTCTGCTTCTCTGATTGTTGTGAGATGGTATCTCACTGTGGTTTTAATTTGCATTTCTCTGATGATTACTGATAATAAGCATTTGTTCATATGTTTTTTGGCCATGTGTACATCTTCTTTTGAGAAGTGTCTGTTCATGTCATACTTAATTGAGGTTTTTTGGTTTTCTGCTTGTTGATTTGTTTACATTCCTTATAGATTCTGGATATTAGAACTTTGTCAGATGCATAGTTTGCAAATATTTTCTCCCAGTCTGTAGGTTATCTGTTTACTCTGTTGATACTTTCGTTTGCTGTGCAGAAGCTCTTCAGTTGAGTTAGGTCCCAATTTCTGTCTTTGTCACAATTGGTTTTGGGGAGTTAGCCATAAATTCTTTGCCAAAGTCTATCTTGAGAAGGATATTTCCTAGGTTTTCTTCTAGAATTTTAATATTTTGAGGTTTTACATTTAAATCTTTAAACTATCTTGGGTTAATTTTTGTATATAGTGAGAGTTAGGGGTCCAGTTCTATTATTTTGCATATGAGTAGTCAGTTATCCCAGAACTATTTATTGAAGAAAGGGTACTTTCCACATTGCTTGTTTTTGTCAATTTTTTCAAAGATGATTGTAGGTATGTAGCCTCATTTCTGGGTTCTCTATTCTGTCTCATTGGTCTATGTGTCTGTTTTTGTAGTAGTATCATGCTGTTTGGGTTACTATAGCATTGTAGTATAGTTTGAAGTTGGGTAATGTGATGCCTGGGCTTTGTTCTTTGTGCTTAGGATTCCTATGTGTATTCAGGCTCTTTTTTTGGTGCCAAATACATTTTAGAATAAATTTTTATAATTTCGTGAAAAATGACATTGCATTTTGAAATGGATAGCATTGAGTCTGCAATTTGTTTTTGGAAGTATGGCGATTTTAACTATTTGTTCTCCTAATTCATGAGCATGGAATATTCTTCCATTTGTTTGTATCATTTCTTATTTCTTTCAGAAGTGTTTTGTAGTTCTCCTTGTAGAGAATTTTCACCTTCTTGGTTAGATGGATTCCTAGGTATTTTATTTTCTTTGTGGCTAGTGTAAATGGAATTGTGTTCTTGATTTAGTTCTCAGCTAGAATGTTAGTGGTGCATAGAAATGTTACTAATTTGTGTACATTTTTTTAATCCCGAAACTTTATTGAATTTGTTTATCAGTTTCAGGAGCCTTCTGACAGAGTCTTTAGGGTTTTCTATGTATAAAATTATTTCATCAGCAAAGAGAGACAGTATCACTACTTCTTTTCCAATTTTAATGCCTTTTATTTCCTTCTCTTGCCTGATTGCTTTGGCTAGGACTTCCAGTACCATGTTGAATTAAAATGGCGGGAGTGGTCATCCTGGTCTTGTTTCGGTTCTCAAGGGGTATGGTTCCAGCTTTTGCCCATCAATATGATGTTGGCTGTGGGTTTGTCATAGATGGCTCTTAATATTTTGAGGTATGTTCCTTTGATGCCTATTGACAGTTTTTATCATGAAGGGATGTTGGATTTTACAGAAAGCTTTTTCTGCATCTATTGAGATGATCATATAGTTTTTGTTTTTAATTATGTTTATGAGGTGAATCACATTCGTTGACTTTGTAGGTTGAACCAACCTTGCATCCCAAAAATAAAGCTTACTTGATCATGTGAATTAACTTTTGATGCACTGACAGATTCAATTTGCTAGCATTTTGTTGAGGATTTTATGTCTATGTTCATTAAGGATATTTAGTTGTAGTTTTCTTTTTTTCATTATGTCTCTGACAGATGTTGGTATCATGGTGATGATGGCTTCATAGAATGAGTTAGGAAGAAGCCCCCACTCCTTGATTTTTTCCAAAAGTTTCAGTAAGATCGGTATCAGTTCTTCTTTGTATGGCTGTTGGATTTTGGCTGTGAATCCATCTGGTCCTGGGCTATTTTTAGTTAGTAGGGTTTTTATTACTGATTAAATTTCTGAACTTGTTATTGGTCTGTTCAGGTTTTCACTTTCTTCCTGGTTGAAATATGATAAATTTTGTGTTACCAGGAATTTATCCATTTCTTCTAGGTTTTCTAGCTTGTTTGTATAGAGGTGTTCATAATAGTCTTTGACGATCTTTTCTATTTCTGTGGGATTGTTCGTAACATTGTTTTGTCAGTTCTATTTGTGTTTATTTGGATCTTTTCTCTTTTTCTTTGTTAATCTAGCTAACAGTCTATGAATTTTGTTTATTTTTTTTCAAAGAAAAACTCTTGGTTTTATTTATCTCTTGTATGGACTTTTTGGTCTCAATTTATTCAGTTCTCTCTGACTTTAGTTATTTCTCATCTTTTGCTGGCCTTGGGTTTGGACTGTTCCTTTTTTTTAATAGTTCCTCTAGATGCAGTGTTAAGTCACTAATTTGAGATCTTTCTAAACTTCTGATGAGGCATGTATTGCTATAAATTTTCCTCTTATCACTGCTTTAACTGCATCCCAAAGGTTTTGGTAAGTTTGTTTCTATTTTTATTAATTTTAAATAATGTTTTGTGATTTCTGCTTTAATTTCATTGTTCACCCAAGAGTTCTCAAGGGGTACAGTTCCAGCTTTTGACCATTCAATATGATGTTGGCTGTGGATTTGTCATAGATGGCTCTTAATATTCATTCAGAAACAAGTTGTTAAATTTCCATGTTTTTCTGTAGTTTTGAGAGATCATCTTGGTATTTTTTTCTATTTTTATTGTGTGCCTTGTTATGATTTTGATTCTTTGAATTTATTGAGACTTGCTTTGTGGCCAGTCTTAGAATATGATATGTTTTTTGTGTGTGCAGATAAGAAGAATCTATATTCTGCAGTTGTTGGGTGGAGTACTCTGTAGATGTCTATGAGGTCCAATTGGTCAAGTGTTGTCTTTAAGACCAGAATTTCTTTGTTAGTTTTCTGTTTTAGTGATTCATCTGACGTTGTTAGTGGGATACTGAAGTCCCTTACTATTATTGTGTGGCTGTCTAACTCTTTTCATAGGTGAAGAATAACTTGTTTTATGAATCGGGGTGCTCCAAATTTGGGTGCATATATATTTAGAATAGTTAAGTCTTCTGTCAAATTGAACCCTTTATCATTTTGTAATGCCCTTCTTTGTCCTTCCTGATTGCTGTTGATTTAAAGTGTGTTTCATGTGATATAAGAATAGGAATGCCTTCCTTTTTTTTGTTTCCTGGTTGCCTAGTAAATATTTCTTCATCCTTTTACTTTGAGCCTGTGGGTGTCATTACATGTGAGATGGGTCTCTTGAAGACAGCAGGCAGTTGGCTCTTGGCTTTTTATCCACGTTGCCACTCTATGCCTTTTATGTGGGGAATTTAGGCCATTTACATTTCTTCTCCTGATATATCCTTTTTATATTTTTATGATTGCCTTTTAAAATATATTGAATGGTTGTAATTCCAGGGAAATGTCTTTCAGAACAGTATTTATTCCCATCTACATGTTTTGGAGAGTGCACTAGGGGACATTGAAGTTTATTTCCTGAAAAGAGTTTAATTTTAAAATGTATTTTATTTAATAACTCAATGATTCAGGGAATGTCTAGGTATTTCAGAGATTGTTTTAGACAGTTTGTTTTCTTGTGATATGTGACCACTTCATCTAAGCTGAATAATGTCTTCATAATGTCCACTTAGAATCTTTTGAATTCTGTAGGATCTGTACTGATGTCATTGTTTCCTTTCTGATATTGGTAATTTTCCTGGGGTAGGATTCTTAGCTCCTCCTGAGGTCCTGCCTCTAAAATTCAGGGAACAATGAGTCAGATTAGTACTCTGATTTCAAAGGGAAAGCTGATCATCTACCATTTTTTGTTTATGTAAATGGACACATTAACATCCCTTGTCTGAACCTTAGTTACCTTGTTTGGAGCATTTTGCTATAAATCTCACTTCTCAGAGTGGTTGTGGGGCTTGATGTGGCTGGGGTATGGGATGGCTTAAACATAATTTATTTCCAGACCAGGTTAAGGCATGAAGGGGTTGGGACTTGTTAGAATCCTGTTGTCGGACTCCACAGTAAGGGTAGACATTTGAGGCACCCAATCAAAAACCTCAGTTGTTCCTAGCACTGAGAAATTTGATAGAATGTTTCTAAAACATTATTCATGGTCTAATGCACAAAAAGTAAAGTGATAGCCCTGGAAGTAGACAGGGAACCATAAGAAAAAAGAGAGAGCAAAGCTCAGTGGTCACCAGTGCCTGGGACCATCAAGGGGTTATTAAGGAGGAAGTTTCCACCTCTGTGGGGAACAGAAGAGGCTCCCTAGGGTCCACACACACAGGGAGTGAGCCAAGACTCTGGGCGAGGCTGGAAGCTCTGGGTCTCCTTCTGTGAGATTTTCTTTTTTTTTTTTGAGATGGAGTCTTGCTCTGCCACCCAGGCTAGAGTGCAACGGCGCGATCTCGGCTCATGGCAACCTCTGCATAAAGTGGTATGTATTTAAGGCATGCATTAGACAAATTACTAAGTATTTACTAGATAAGAAAAAATTATATCTGAATCTTTTCAAATTGCCGTCTTATGCATTATATTCTCTTTTTATAGTGCAATTTCTTAATAGTTAATGCCAGAAGATTTTTTTTTCTTCCTTTCTTTCTTTCTTTTTTTTTTTTTTTTGAGACAGAGTCTCACTCTGTTGCCAGGCTGGAGTGCAGTGGCACGATCTCGGCTCACTGCAACCTCCGTCTCTCGGGTTCATGCCATTCTCCCGCCTCAGCCTCCTGAGAAGCTGGGACTACAGGCACCCTCTACCATGCCCAGCTATTTTTTTTTTTTTTTTTGTATTTTTAGTAGAGACGGGGTTTCACCATGTTCGCCAGGATGATCTCTGTCTCTTGAACTCGTGATCCACCTGCCTTGGCTTCCCAAAGTGCTGGGATTACAGGCATGAGCCACTGCACCTGGTCGCCAAAAGATATTTTTAAAAACCTAAATGCCACTTGAAATGAATAAGACCCTCAATAATTCATGGGATATACATGTGAACTTATGACATATGATGAAATAAGCAGGTTACAAAATTGTAATATATCAAGCAAGGTAGAAAGCCATGGCAGAAAAAGAGACAAGCATTTTCAAGATAAGGAATGAAAGAGGGGAAACAGTACTATTGATTTTACAGATTTTACAAAGATATCTTAGGTGTGTTTTCCTAAATAATAAATGTACCCTCCTTTTGACCTTTATGTAATGAAATAACCATGCACACATTTTCAAATAATACTTCATTTACTTGACTTTATGCTTGAAAATTGAAGTATGGTGCTGTTTGTTATTTTCATTTATGCATTTTACTACCTTGTAATATTCCACTGAGTCTATTTACCACACTATGTTTATTTTTTTCGTAGGTGGACTTTGGTATTTTATAGCTTTGGCTAATAGGAACAGCATTCCTATAACAGTTGTGAGTGTATCATGACACATAAGTAGACATTTATCTCTAGGGTACATAATTAAGTACATAATTAAGAAGGGTCACAGCCATGTGCCTCCTCTTTTTAACTAGATAATTCCAATACACTTCCTTAATTGATTAAAGCAATTTGTACTCTTACTATTAATGTACTAAAATTCTACATGTTCAATATTCTTTCCAAAAAATGATTTTGCTACTTTTTTCTTTTCTTGAGACTGAGTCTTGCTCTATCACCCAGGCTGTAGTGATCTCGGCTCACTGCAACCTCCGCCTCCTGGGTTCATGCGATTCTCGTGCCTTGGCCTCCCAAGTAGCTGGGATTACAGGCAGGCGCCACCATGTCTGGCTAATTTTTGTATTTTTAGTAGAGACAGCGTTTCACCATGTTGGCCAGGCTGGTCTCGAACTCCTGACCTCAGGTGATCCTCCTGCCTCGGCCTCCCAAAGTGTTGGGATTACAGGCATGAGCCACCACACCCGGCCTATTTTTTTCTTTTCCCTCCATTGTGCTATGATTTTTGACATTACAATTTTACTGAAACTACACCATAAGAATGAAGCAGAAATTATTATAACCTTTAAATAAACTTTACAACTGGTTCATACTCGTGTGAACGACAATTCTTTTGACTACTTCCCAACTGTGCATTCAATGGCGTCATATGGGCACCCTGAAGTTGGCCATAAAGGACGTATTTATACCACACTAATCAGCAAATACCATAAATCTGGGGCTTTATATGTTCAGAGTTTTCTTAAGAAAATAATTTTTTCAGAGAGCCAGTTTAACAGAATACCATGAGGCTGAGCCTTCGAGCGTTAGTGTGCTCATTCTGAGAGATGATATTTCTGGACAAAGTACACAGGTATCATCCGATGAAGAGTGAAGGGAATTCAGGGTCCAGAGAGGGTGCTAGGGCATCATTTCAGACTCATATTTCCCTTTTTTTTTTTTTTTTTGGAGATGGAGTCTTGCTCTGTTGCCCAGGCTGGAGTGCAGTGGCAAGATCTTGGCTCACTGCAACCTCCGCCTCCCGGGTTCAAGCTATTCTCCCGCCTCAGCTTCCTGAGCAGCTGGGATTACAGGTGCTCACTGCCACACCCAGCTAATTTTTGTATCTTTTAGTAGAGACAGGGTTTCACCATGTTGGCCAGGTTGGTCTCGAACTTCTGACCTCAAGTGATCCGCCCACCTCAGCCTCCCAAAGTGCTGGGATTACAGGTGTGAGCCACTGTGCCTGGCCTCAGACTCATGTTTCAAAGTCCCAAATACAAATCTGCCCACCTATTCCAGTTATTTAATCCAGATCTATGCTCAGAACTGAAAAGATGGAGAATCAATAGTTCACTTTAGAGAATGCGGTAGTTGGAAACAAAGACAAATGTATTACATGACAGTGGACCAGAGCACGTGATCGCAGGGGTGTGGATGCAAACCCACCATGGGGGACGTGCCTTCACATCACAGAGAGCGAAAGGAAGGGAGGGGCAGACACGGAGGATCCACAACAGCAGGACTGAAAGCACTGCCATTTAATGGAAGTTTAATGGAGGAAGCGTTCTCTACAGGCACCCAGACATCTTCCTGAACCTGACCCAAGCCTCCCCTTCTCGACTTTCTCAGTAGACGGTTTCCCGAATGATGGTCCAGACTTTCTTCCAGAACCTCCTAGGACTATCAGATTCATTGCCAAGGCTCTGGCACTCTGAAGGGTGCATTGTTCTCTCATGTATTTACCTCCTTGCTGCATCTTGGGGACTTCTCTAGCTGTGCCAGTCCTAAAGCAGCAGAATCCCGAGGACCACCAGGACCAAGCCAGCCACAGCCACGCGGATGAGATTCTCCACTGTGTAATCCTGGGGGTGTGAGGCTGGGGATGGTGGACCAAGAGGTCTCAGAGGTCAGGGCAGATCAACATCACCCGGGACCCCTGGATGTCCACCCAGGGCACCCACCTCCCCTTCACAGGACCTGACCCTCTGTGCCAGCCCCATAACCGAGAGCATCTCCTTACACACCAGTCTTGGAGTCTGTCTTGTTTTGCGATGGGCTGAGGGTCTCAGCTGCTCCTGAGAATCAACCAAAAAAGGGGGAGGTGTGTGAGGAGTTGAAGAGACTTAAGCCAACATGTCCCTCAGTTGCTGCATTCCTTTGTGTCTACACTTCTCCTAACTGCTCTGTAGTTGTGTGATAGAACCTTTCCCTGCCGTGGCAGAGGTACATTCGCATACATACATACATATATGCATAGGTGTAAATATGTGTGTATACATAATATGTGTTATGCATATGTGTATACATAATATGTATTATGCATATGTGTATAGATAATATGTATTATGCATATGTGTATGCATAATATGTATTATAAGATATAGTGTGAGTATATATAAATATATAATATATAAGATATATAATAGTGTGTGTATACATATAAATATATAATAAGATATGTAATAGTGTGTGCATATATAAATATATAATATATAATAAGATATATAATAGTGTGTATATATAAATATATAATACATAATATATTATAAGATATATAATAGTATGTATATATAAATATATAATACATAATATATAAGATATATAATAGTGTGTGTATATATAAATATATAATACATTATATATTATAAGATATATAATAGTATATATAAATATATAGTACATAATATATAATAAGATATATAATAGTGTGTGTATACATATAAATATATAATAAGATATGTAATAGTGTGTGCATATATAAATATATAATATATAATAAGATATATAATAGTGTATATATATAAATATATAATACATAATATATTATAAGATATATAATAGTATGTATATATAAATATATAATACATAATATATAAGATATATAATAGTGTGTGTATATATAAATATATAATACATTATATATTATAAGATATATAATAGTATATATAAATATATAGTACATAATATATAATAAGATATATAATAGTGTGTGTATACATATAAATATATAATAAGATATGTAATAGTGTGTGCATATATAAATATATAATATATAATAAGATATATAATAGTGTATATATATAAATATATAATACATAATATATTATAAGATATATAATAGTATGTATATATAAATATATAATACATAATATATAAGATATATAATAGTGTGTGTATATATAAATATATAATACATTATATATTATAAGATATATAATAGTATATATAAATATATAATACATAATATATAATAAGATATATAATAGTGTGTGTATATATAAATATATAATACATAATATATATTATAAGATATAATAATGTGTGGGTAATATAAATATATAATACATAATATATAAGATATATAATAGTGCATATATAAATATATAATACATAATATATATTATAAGATATAATAATGTGTGGGTATATATAAATATATAATACATAATATATATTATAAGATATAATAATGTGTGGGTATATATAAATATATAATACATAATATATAAGATATATAATAGTGTATATATAAATATATAATACATAATATATATTATAAGATATATAATAGTGTGTGAGTATATATAAACACATACATATATATTTGAAGTGAGAAGAGTATTATATAATTTAGAAACAAACAAGTTTGTCCTCCATTTTCTTGTGGTTAATGTAATTATTATCAATAAATCAGAAGAGATCATTTCGGAAAGGATTGAAAGGGAGTGTGTCTGTGGTAAGTTAATAGGAACTAAAATTAGCATACCCAAACCAATAGCTTTCTCATCCATACGTAACTAATTTTAGAAAATAGAAAGGAATCAAAGACTTTCAAATTATTCAAGTAGTAAAACAATGCTTAAAATTCACAATGTCCACAATTTTTATGAATACAACTTCAAGCATCTGCTAACTGTATAAAGTTTAATTTTAAATGTATTGGATACAAAGACATTATTAATGAGAAGTTATTCTCCATCATGAATGCACATATTTAATTTAATCCCAAAGAAAATCAGAGCACAGTTATTTTACATCATAACGCTACCTAACAAATTAAATGTGTAAATTATAAATGCCAGCATTGCTTTGAAATCTTCAGAAACAGAAAGAGAAACTAGATATGTGGACATAAAAAATAAAGGACAGAAAGGAATTGCACACGAGGTTTGCTGTTGAATAATTTGCCTGCATTGCTGCAGTGAGCAGGTGCATGATCTCCCCTTCGTCTCAGGTATGCACTGAGTATTTTGGGGCCGCCAGGGGAGCCCAGGTGGGGAGTGGGTGGGGCCTCCATCTTCTACCCTCAGCCTAAGCATGATTCCTCCAAGGTTTCTCCATATCTCATTTCAGCCCTCCCTGGCCTTTAGCCCCATCTGAGGTCTCTGGGGTGGGAGCCCAGGATTAGGAGGTCCCTGACTATTTCCACCCTCTCATGGGCTGGGCCCTCCCCTGCCGACCCTCCCCCTTTACTCCCCTCTTTCCTTAGCGTCCTGAGCTCTCCTGGGGGCAGGGCCTGAGCTGAGGTTTGAGCTCAGAGAGGACAGGGTCAGCGGCCTCACCTGAGACCACGAGCTCCAGGGGGTCACTGGGGTGAGACAGCAGGTAGGGGAAGAATCTGCGTGAGCTGTAGCACCTGTAGGTCCCCGCGTGGGCTGAGGTCACAGGACTCATGGGGAATTCAGCCTGGTGCTGCTGAGCTTGGTGCTCTGATCTCAGACGCAGTGGGTGATGGGCTGCCCCCTCCTTGGTCAGAAGGAAAGTGTCCAACTGCTCCCGTGACTGACACAGCAGGGTCACGTTCTCTCCTGAGGCCACCGTGGGGCCCGGCTGCACCGAGAGGGAGGGTCTGCCACGGATCTGTCCTGGAGAGAAGAAGGATGGGTGAGGGGCTGCCCCACCTCGTTCTGAGCTGACACCTCCCCAGGCCTCTCCCTGGGACCCTCAGTGTCTCTGTCTCTGTTTTCTCTGAGTCTCCCCCTCCCCGCCCATCCCCTGTCTCTGTCTGTCTCTCCGTCCCTTAGGACCCCCACCCCTCATCCCGGCCATCACCACCTGGGCTCCCCCAGCAGGGCCTGTGCGGAGCCTGGGTCCCTGACTGAACCTGCTGGGCTCCTCACCTGCGATCAGGATGCTCAGGGGGTCACTGGGGGCCGACCACTCGGAGGAGAGGTTGTGTGCACCGTAGCATCTGTACTGGCCCCCGTGGGAGACCCTCACAGGGCCCAGGGTGAAGTTGGCCTGGGAGAGCCCAGCCTGGGGCTGCCGGCCAGAGCCCTGGACGAGGTCATGTCCCCCCTCCTTGTACAGAGTGAATTTGTCATAGCCGACATCAGAGCCACACTGGAGGGTCAGATTCTCCCCAGGGGCCACGACAGGGCCCTGCAGGGTCAGGAGGGAGGGCTTCCTAGACACGCCTGGAGGGAAAGAAGAGTCGGGACTAGGAGGGCTGGTTCCTCCCACACCCCTTCCTTCTCCCCTCCTGGCCCTGCAGGTCTCACTGTCTCTCACACTCAGTGTCTCTGGGCTCAGGAGTCCCAAACTTCCCTTGTTCCACCCTCCTACATGGGGCTCCGTGAGAGTAAGTTCTCAAAAATAAATAGGGCAAGGAGGAAGACATCCATACCTAAGACCAGGATCTCCATGGTATCACTGGGTTCCGACCACACCCAGGGGAAGTTCGTGTAATGCCCATAGCATCTGAACATCCACCGGTGACTGGCAGCCACACGGCCCACAGGGAACAGGGCCAGGGACAAGGGACAGCCCCTTGGAGAGTTCCTGTGAGTCCAGCATCCAGGAGAGCTTGTTTTCTCCTTCCTCAATCAAAATGAACCTGTGAAATCCCACCCTTGAGCTACACTGGATGGTCACGTTCTCTCCTGAGGTCACCACAGGGCTCGGCAGGGCTGAGAGAGTGGGTTTTCTGTGGGCTCCTAGGAGAGAAGGAGACACTGTCTTAAATGGGGCTCACGCGTCCCACATCATCCCCCAGGGCTGAGTTATTAGAACGGAGATGCCCTTGAGAGCTGACCCCCTTCCTGCAGGCAGAGCCTGGGGCTGGGACCCCTGAGTGTCCTCTTACCTGTCACCACCAGCTCCAGGGGCTCGCTGCGCTCTGACCAGCCTGCAGGGCTGAGATAGTGACAGTGGTATCTCCCTGCATGGTGCTCTCTCATGGATGGGATGAAGAAGTTGGTCTTGTTCCTGGGCTCTGGTGGGCTCTGTTGGTACCAGGTCATGGGGTTTCCTTCCTTGGTGAGATAGTAACCCTGGGTATCCAGGGTCCCCTGGCACCAGAGGGTCATGGGGCTCTCCCAGGTAATCACAGAGCCTGGCTCAGCCCAGAGGCTGGGTTTGGGGAGGGTCCCTGGAAGAAACCACAGGCTGGGGTCCACAGACCTCCCCCGCTCCTCATTCCCAGCTCAGGTCACAGACCCTCTTGATTTTCTCACCCTCAGTTCAGAAGCCCCTGAGATGAGAGTCCAGGTGCTGAGTGTGAGGTCAGGCATGGGAGGTTAGCAGAGACTCACCTGCAAGTGCTTGGGCTTTCTGGCCCAGACTCAGCCATGGAGAAGAGTTTCCTGTGGGGGATTTGGAACACAGAGGTGTGGCTGCTTCCCTTCCTGTTGGAGCACCAGTAGCCACTGGAGCCCTGAGGCTCTCTGGTGAACAAGGCTGCTGTGGGACCCTCCCCACCTCAGCCCAGTGCCCCTCCTGTCCCTCGTCTCTCCACCACTGACTGAGGCACAGAAGAACAGTGAGGATGGACACCATGATGCCTGCTCTGCGTGCTCCAGCTGTGGGACAGGTGACCACATGGCCCTCCATGACAGACAGATGCACGGATGTGGTTAAGTCAGAGCCTGCTGCCGCCTGCCTGGGTCCCCACAGCTGTGAACCCACAGGAAGTGGACAGCCCCTTGCTGGGCCTGTCTCTTATTCCCCCCCCAGTGCAGGGGCTCAGGAGGACCCAGGCCCTCTGCACACATCTCAGCCCAGACCTGAGGTGTCCCCTGATTGCCAGGGATCCTTTGTCTGAAAACCTGCCCGTGGAGGGTGGACCCAACATCATATCTATGTCAGCTCCCAACTTAGCTGGGTCTAAACTGAAAACACAGCCCTTATTTTCTCAGAGCCTCCACTCATGACATCGGCTTTCTTTTTCCCCACTGATGCAAAGACAAATATTTCCCAGCAGAAAGTCATCCTGATCTGGAGAGACCCATTTCCTGCGTTCAGTAAATAAAGTCAGTTTCATTAGGGGAGGCTCTGGGAAAATAAGGGGATGCAGACTAGCAGAAGATGAACATTTAGCTACTTGTTTCTCAATTAATTGATTTATTACCAAAGAGAGAGAAGTGGAAACATGAGAATAGGGACCATGACTAGAATGTGGTTGAGGGAATGGTTTCTATCTTATTCCCTGGCAGAGAACTAAGGGATAAGAATGAGAAAGCTGGCTGGGTGCAGTGGCTTACACCTGTAATCCCAGCACTTTGGGAGGCCGAGG
The DNA here is from genome assembly GCF_000001405.40 of Homo sapiens. Lineage (NCBI taxonomy): Eukaryota > Metazoa > Chordata > Mammalia > Primates > Hominidae > Homo > Homo sapiens. The sequence goes on from NT_187673.1 coordinate 161,620, forward strand.
CAGGAAGATCACAAGGTCAGGAGTTCAAGACCAGCCTGACCAACATGGTGAAACCCCTGTCTCTACTAAAAATACAAAAACTAGCTGGGTGTGCTGGCATGCGCCTGTAATCCCAGCTACTAGGGAGGCTGAGGTGGGAGAATCGCTTGAACCTGGGAGGTGGAGCTTGCAGTGAGCCGAGATCGCGCCACTGCACTCCAGCCTGGGCAACAAAGCCGGACTGTCTCAAAAAAAAAAAAAAAAAAAAAAAAAAAGAAAGAGAGAAAACCCAGCAGTGAGAGGTAGTTGTGAGAACACACTAAAGAGGAAAGATAATCCAGGGCTGGGAGTGGTGGCTCATGCCTGTAATTCCAGCACTTTGGGAGGCTGAGGCTGGCAGATCACAAGGTCAGGAGTTCGAGACCAGCCTGACCAACATGGTGAAACCCTGTGTCTACTAAAAATGCAAAAATTAGCTGGGTGTGGTGGTGGGTGCCTGTAATCCCAGCTACTCAGGAGGCTGAGGTGGGAGAATCGCTTGAACCCAGGAGACGGAGGTTGCAGTGAGCTGAGATTGCACCACTGCACTCCAGCATAGGCAACAAAGCCAGACTCTGCCAAAAACAAAAACAAAAACAAAAACAAAAACAAAAAACAAGAAAGCTCAGTGAGAGGTGGTTGTGAGAACACACTAAAGAGGAAAGATCATTCAGGGCTGGGAGTGGTGACTCACGCCTGTAATCCCAGCACTTTGGGGGGCCACAGGCGGGTGGATTACCTGAGGGCAGGAGTTCAAGACCAGTCTGGCCAACATGGTGAAACCTCGTCTCTACTAAAAATACAAAAACTAGCTGGGTGTGATGGCGGGTGCCTGTAATCCCAGCTACTTGAGAGGCTGAGTCAGGAGAATCTCTTGAACCCAGGAGGCAGAGGTTGCAGTGAGCTGGGATCGTGCCACTGTACTCTAGCCTGGGTAACAGAGCAAGGCTCTGTCTCAAAAAAATAAAAATTAGAAAGAAAAAAGGAGAAGGAGAAGAGGAAGGAGACAGAAAGGAGAGAAACATCCCTGAGGTGGAACATTACATGCAACATGGAGTAGGCAGGGAATCCGATAGAGCACTGAAACTCTCGCTGGGTACGGTGGCTAACATCTGTACTCCCAGCACTTTGGGTGGCCGAGGTGGATGGATCACCTGAGGTCAGGAGTTTAAGACCAGCCTGACCAACATGGTGAAACCCCATCTCTACTAAAAATACAAAAGGCTGGGTGTGGTGGCTCACGCCTGTAATCCCAACACTTTGGCAGTCTGATACAGGCGGATCACATGAGATCAGGAGTTTGAGACCAGCCTGGCCAAGATGGCAAAACCTCATCTCTACTAAAAATACAAACATTACCTGGCTGTGGTGGCAGTCGCCTGTAATCCCAGCTATGCAGGAGGCTGAGGCAGGAGAATCGCTTGAACCTGAGAGGTGGAGGTTGCAGTGAGTCAAGATCGTGCCATTGCACTCCAGCCTGGCCAATAGGAGCAAAACTCCATGTGAAAATAAAATAAAATAAAATAAAATATAATAAAATAAAATAATAAATCAAAAAAGGACTGGACATCTCCTGTGGGTTGTCAGTGAATGGAACTAAGCAAGCCACCGCTCTTTCCCTTTTGTCCCGCAAGTGTCTTTCTTGGCCTCCAGGAAGTGAGTTCCATCATGTCAGACCCTATGTTTGTTCCTGCTGGGTTCACTGAGGCTCCTCCCTTTCCACCTGTGGCTCCCCATGGGTTCCCAGTCCCCAGCCAGTGTTGTGAATCGAGCCAGGAAGACCAGCCCTATCACACCCCTCCTGATGGAATTCCCACAGTGTCATCCTGGAGAACAGGGGCTGGGGGCTGGGGTAGGATCAGAGACCTTTTCATGTGGGCCAGGCCCCTCCCTCCACAGGAGCTCTGACACGAAGCTCATCACCATTCATTTCACCCTGACGATATTCTTCCTGCCCAGACACCCCCGTTCTCCCTATGTCATCATGGGCACCTCAGTGAAATCCATGGTTGAGGGTCTCTGTCACTTACTCTGCCCTCTTCTTGGAAAATTTCCTTGGATCCTTCCAGAGCCCTTCCTGAGTGTGCTGCAGGGTCTCTGCCACATGACACACTCTCAGGAACCCTCATCCTCCCCTTAATCTACTGCGCCCACATAGCCAGGTGCAGGCTCCGTTTCTTCATCTTCCCTTCCCCACAGGCCCCGATGGAGAGTGGATTAGACTCGCTCCTGAGTAGGGACTCAGGTCACTCTGACCCCTTCCTCCCTGTGGACGAGGCCTCTGTCCCAGAGCTTTGGAGGCTGAAGGGCCTTGTGGATTCCCGCACTGGCCACAGTCTCCGATGCAGATGGGGAACTGGGGACCTGGGAGGGGTTGCCTAGCCCAAGGCCACATAGCTGGGCGGTGGCACAGCCTTCACTCACACAGGGACATTCCATCTTCCCAGGGACTTCACACTGGAGGCTAAGAGCCCCACTTTGCACACCACATTCAGGGGTAGATTCTGTGTGTGACTAACAAGTTCTCTTAGGGTTCCGAGGTAACAGGACAGCAAATGGATGAGTGAGAGTTTCCCTCACCCCACTGAAGTAGGACCATTCTCTGTGGAGGGTTGGTCCCCTGACTTCCTCTACTCTGTCATCTCCCTAGTGACTGATAGGGGTCCTGGGGTCTCTTCCCTGGAATCCCATGAGGGACAATTCCTTTCCTGAAGGGAAGGTATAGAGAGGACTAGCAGGTGCCTGGTGATGGAAAGTCCCCATAATCAAGAGACATTGCCTCCCCCCCCCGGCATGATAAATATCTGGGTTTCCAAATGGGAAATCTGTCTGTGATGAGAGCTCAGGAGGGGCTTCTGGAAGATGGAAAAGGGCTAGAGGCTGAGGCCACTGCTTATCTCCCCACACTGTATCTGGCTTCACCTCCTGTGTTTGTCCTGACCTCTTCCTTCACTCACCTGGATAAGTAGGACCCCAAAGTGGGCCTCCAGACAGGAAGCAGTGGAGAGTGTGGAGCTGCCCTGTCTACCACCCTACACCCTGACACCACTGTCATACTCAACCTCTCTTTTCCTCTTTGTGTTTCTCATTGCTTCATTTTGTCTGGAATCCCTAAGATTCCCATGTCTCCAGCAGGCTGTCCCTCAGACGTGGCTATATGATTTAGTGTTTCACAGGGCATGCAGCAGGCATGGGCTACCCCCAGTAACAGTGGTCATCTAGGGCTGATCACTCACAGGCAGAGCCATCGACAGAGAGCTGCAGCATCTAGAGGTCCCATCACCAGCCCCAAGACCCAGAGAGAAGTTGGCCTGAATGCCCCACTCTGTCTCTGCACCCCAGTGAGCCAGTGTCCAGGGGCCTTACCTTCCTCGTTAGAAGGCACAGGTCAAATGAGCTTCCAGAGCTGCAGAGCAAAGTCACATTCTCTCCATCATTACTTACTGCAGGGCACAGTTGAGCTGAGAAGGAAGGTCTCTTGTAGACGCCTGGGGAAAAAAATAGTCCTTGACTGTCGAGCACAAGCCTTACCCAGCCTATCCTCAGGGCATGAAAAAGGCATTCTCTCCACCTGTTCTGGGGAGCACACTCTGTTACCCACTCGTGCCTCTCTCCATCTCAGTTCTAGCTCTACAAGCTGGCTCATCATGTGTGTGTTTTCCTGTCTGTCTTTGCTCAGCTTTTCCTTGAATCTCTTGCTTTTTGCCGGTGCGTGTGTGGCTTTCTGCCCTTAGAACCATATGAGATTTAGGGTTCTCCTGGCACATAGAACTGTTTACTTTGAGGACCCTCAGAAAACATAGCCCTGGGCTAAGGCTCCCTGTCCTGGAACTAGAAGGTTATGGGTGTCACCATTTCCCAACAGCATGTCTGAAAGTGCCAGAATCTTCAAAGAGTCTGCAACATGTTTGTAGGATCTTTATAGGGTCTGATATTGCAGGGACCAACCAAAGTGCCCTCACACCCCAAGACGCTGGAAGTGACCCCTTGCTGAAAGTGGTTGGAAGTTTCACATAGAAGTTTGAGTTAAGCCACATTGCTGAGCAATGCCTCAGCATCCCAGTCTTCATCCAGACCTTCCAGGAGCCTGGCTGGAGGGGGTGTCTCTGGTGTGTCACTGAGCCTTATAGCAGAGGAAGGGGGCTATGGTGGAAACTACCTCCAAGATACCACTCAGTCCTAAGCTGGGGAACAAGCTGAGCTTGGATTCTGGTAGTGAATGAACCGGGAAACATTTATTTGAAGGGTTCTAAGAGTAGCATCGTGTGGGTGCGTTAATTGTATGTGAAGGGGAAGATCCTGAGAAAACAAGAGCTGCTCCACTCTGTGCCTGGGTTTACCAGAGGGACCGATGAGGTCCTCACAAGACCCAGGAATCCCACCGGGGGAAGGAGGCTTAGGGAGATGTGTTTAAGACTGTTAAGTGAGTCACAGACAGAAGCAGATCAAGCCATCCCACCACCTAGGTTTGTGGTTTTGTTTCTCCTAAACTTCCTTTCTGTAAGTAGCAGAACCTTCTCATCACCATCCTTCAAAACCTCTGCATTGTTTGAGCTCCTTGTATTTTCTGGAGATTAATCTCTTGCTTGCAAATATTCTTTCCCATTCTGTAGGTGGTCTCTTCACTCTGCTGTTTGTTTCCTTGATTGTGCAGAAGGTTTGCAGTTTGCTATGATCTCATTTGCCTATTTTTGCTTTTGCTGCCTGAGCTTTTGAGGGTTTTTTTTTTTTGTTTTTTTTTTTGAGACGGAGTCTCGCTCTGTCACCCAGGCTGGAGTTCAGTGGCATGATCTCAGCTCATTGCAACCTCCGCCTCCCGGGTTCAAGTGATTCTCCTGCCTCAGCCTCCCTAGTAGCTAGGACTACAGGCGAGTGCCACCACACCCGGCTAATTTTTGTATTTTTAGTAGAGGCAGGGTTTCACCACGTTTGGCCAGGCTGGTCTCAAACTCCTGACTTCAAGTGATCCACCCACCTTGGCCTCCCAAAGTGCTGGGATTACAGGCGTGAGCCACTGCGCCCGGCGTTGTATTGGATTTTTAATTCAGCCCTATTTTCTCCGACATTTGATATTGGCATTTTTGTCTTTTTTGGATATGCTAGGATCATGGTGTCATAATTTAATTTTAATTTTTATTTTTATTTTAAGTTCCGGGGTACATGTGCAGAATGTGTGGGCTTATTGCATAGGTCAATGTGCGCCATGGTGGTTTCCTGCACCTGTCAACCCATCACCTAGGTATTAAGCCCAGCATACATTAGCTATTTTTCCTAATGCTCTCCCTACCCCTACCCCACCCCCCCCCCGACAGGCCCCAGTGTGTGTTGTTCCCCTCCCTGTGTTCACGCATTCTCATTGTTCAGCACCCACTTGTAAGTGAGAACATGCAGCGTTTGATTTCCTGTTCCTGTGTTAGTTTCCTGAGGATAATGGTTTCCAGCTCCATCCATGTCCCTGCAAAGGACATGATCTTGTTTCTTTTTATGGCTTCATAGTATTCCGTGGTGTATATGTCTCACATTTTCTTTATCCAGTCTATCATTGATGGGCATTTGGGTTGATTCTATGTCTTTGCTATTGTGAATAGTGCTGCGATGAACACATGTGTGCATGTATCTTTGCAATAGAATGATTTATATTCCTTTGGGTATACGCGCAGTAATGGGACTGCTTTTACCTGTGCCAAAATACTGAAGTAGAAATGATTATTCACTCTAAAATGGAAGGTAATAAGATGTATACGTGAGCTATCAGATGCCTGGTGCTTATGAGTGAAGACAAGTCTGTCCAACGCTTCCCAACCCTGCATTCAGGGATGTCTCGTTGGCATCTTGATTATGGCCATGAAAAAAGAATTTACGTCAAGGAAATTGGTAAATGCCACTAATCATAGCATTTCAAAAAATGTCTTTTTCAGAATTAGCATACCATTGGGTCGTGACTTCAAATGCCAGTGTGTTGATTCCAGGTGGTGATATTTCAGGAGAAACTACACAGATAGCATCTGATAAGGAGGGAAGAGCTCATAGGGTCCACACAGGAGGTGAGGGCATCACGGTGCATTTATCTTTTCCTGGTCGGACTCTGATCTTCTCCCGTTGAATTAGTTCCTAAACCAGGTGCGGAACTCTGAACTGAAGACATGAAGACCCAGTAAAGTACACCAGGAAGTGTGGCAATGAGAAATGAAGAGGACTGTGTGACACGCCATGGACCAGAGCATGCAGGTGTGCAGAGGTGTGGACCCAACGCTGCCATGTGGGATGGAGCCTCATGTCTAAGTGTGGGAAAAGAGGCAGATCCAACCAAGGAAAGTCAACATTAATGGAGAGGAAAGGTATCACATTTTAATGGTTCTCCATGGATCACCCCAGAAAATGTCCCTGCACTCGGACATTGATTCCTTCCTCTGGAAATGACCAGCAGACAGTCCAGATAGCATCGGCCCTAGATTTTCTTCCAGAACCTCCTGGGATCATCAGATCTGTTCCTGAGGCTTCACGACTCTATAAAGTACATTATCCTCTCTGCTGTTCACCTCCCGGCTGCATCTTGGGAAGCTTCTCTGGCTGTGCCAAGCCTCAAATGACAGAATCCCGAGGACCACCAGGATCAAGCCAGCCACGCCCATGTGGATGAGATTCTCCACTGCGTAATCCTGAAGGTGTGAGGCTGGGGATGGTGGACAAAGAGGTCACAGAGGTCAGGGTGGATCAGATTGTCCACCCAGGGCACCCACCTCCCCTTCACAGGACCCAACCCTCAGTGCCAGCCCCATCACTGAGAGTATCTCCTCACATACCAGTCTCAGAGTCAGACTTGTTTTGTGATGGGCTGAGGGTATCAGCTGCTCCAGAGAATCAAAACAGAGAAAAAGAGACCTGAGCCCAGCCTCTCACCTGGGCTCTGCAATTTTTTTTTTATTACTTAATGTCTCATGATGTGACTTTTACAGAATTTCTAAAAAAAAAAAAAAAAAACCTCTTCCTCCGCTAGCAGGATTCCCTCTAGTCTCCTCATTGAACGATTTCAGTTTTCCTGTGTTCTATGGATTTAAACATTGCTCCTGAGTCATCTGGGAGAGAGTTTTCCTGCATCCTGAGAGCTCAGGATCTGCAAGGAAAGTGGTCCCCAGTACAGAGGTCACTAAGGCCTGTGTGCTCTCTGTGCAGCCTGGGACACAGGAGAACATGAGCCAACTCCCCCGGAGATGAGAGTTTCACGGATCCACCAGCTGAGGACCCAGGCTCCGTGGATGAGGGTTAGTCATCAGGGGAGCCTCAATGTCAGAAGCACAAAGGGGTGAAATTCTGGGGCTGCCTCCCCTTCATGCCCTCAGCCACTTCACCTGGAGTTTCATTGTCCATTTAATCTCTAGGTAGCTAATTATTCGTATAGGCAGCAACAGGTAGAATGTGATACACACACAGAAAAACACAAACACAAATATATATCTGTTTTATATATATAGTGGGCCTTAAAAACTATCTCTGCCTTCTTGAAGTGTGGGTTCACCTGGAGACAAACAGCAAACATATAGAAACACAGCAGTGGAAATTTACTAGTCGTAGCAATGGTTTTAGATATATTGGTAGAGACCTATATTTATGTGTGAATATATATTATTTGTATAGATATACGGATAACTAGGTTTCAATGTCACGTAAGATGTTGGTGTGACCACACACGCGCACACACACACACACACGTATATGCAGAGAGTGGAAGAGAGAGAGAAGGAATTCAGCCGCATGGTGTAGGTTGGTTAATTACTTGACATAAATGAGAAGCAGGCAGGACTGGGCTGAGCTGTGTCGTCAGTGAAGGTCACACTTGGAGGTGACATTGAAGCTGATTCCTCAATAGGAAAAAGGGCCAGGAAGGAGGCGTGTGGAGACCCAGACAGGGAGCAACAGAGGCTCCAGAAAGAGCAGGTCCCAGAAAGGTCTCAGCCTGTTCTTCAGAAAGGAATGGCCGCTTGTCTACAGGGTGGAGGAGGAGGCAGAGGAGGAGGGGAGATGAGCTTCGGGGCCTTGGTGGATTGAGAATAGGCCAGGATGAACCGGCCAGGAAAGAGCGGCCCCAATATCTCTCTCTCTGTCTCTCTGTCTCTGTCTCTGCCTCTCTCTCCCTCCCTCTGAGGTCTGGAAAGTGCTGTAGGGTTTCAAGGAGTGGTACCAGTCATTTGACTTTTTCTGAAAAGATAAGCCCTACCCCCTCCATAGCAAATGTCCAGAACGAAGGAAGTCCACATTTCTACCTGAAGTTTACAAAACCTCAGGGAGCACGTGAGATCAGGGCTATTACGAAACCGGGTGAGAATAAAAATAGGTGATGCTGCAAATCTACTTTCACCAGCTTGGACAAAAAGGCCAATATGAGATTTTAAAAACCCAAATAAAAAATGTCAACGGCGCAGAAGAGGAGCGGTGCACATTCCCTGAGCTGCTGCGGGAGCACGTGCAAGTCCCTGTGAGGCTCAGGTGTGCGCTGAGTGCTGGGGAGGCTGCAGGGGAAAGCAGGAAGTGGGGCGGGGTGGGGGGGGGTCGGGGGTGGATGCAGGTGGCACCGGCAGCCTGGATGCTTCTCTCTCCAGGAGGGCGTCTGTTGGGGACTGGGACACAGAGGCTCTGATTCTGAGGTGGAGACACCAGGATGGGAGCAGGTGGGGCCTCCGTCTTCCACCCTCAGTCTAATCTCAACTCCTTTGAGGTTCACCCCCCGTCTCCTCCCAGCCCTCCCTGCACTTTACTCTACTGAGACTTCAGGGGTGGGAGCCAGGGGTGGGAGGTCCCTGTCTATTTCCATCTTCCCATGGGCTGGACCCTCCCCTGCGGACCCTCTCCCTTCACTCCCCTCTTTCCTTAGTGTCCAGAGCTCTGCTGGGGGCAGGGCCTGAGCTGAGCCTTTGAGCTCAGAGAGGACAGGGTCAGCGCCCTCACCTGAGACCACGAGCTCCACGGGGCCACTGGGGTGAGACAGCAGGTAGGGGTCGGAGCTGAGTGAGCCGTAGCACCTGTAGGTCCCCGTGTGGGCTGAGGTCACAGGACTCATGGGGAATTC